>NC_000010.11:48173398-48324913 GCF_000001405.40 Homo sapiens | reverse complement strand
CCAAGAGACTCAACACACAGGTAAAAGGCTGCTGGAAAACAGGATATTCAAAGGGAACCAAAACGTCATCTCACTGATCTGCTGATTGTCAAGGGGAAACCCATTGTTATAATGGATAGATCTGGTGAATACCACCTTAACACCAAATGATCACACTTTAGGCAAACCACCTGATGCCTGTGTTATGAGTCAATATAACGTACACAGGAGTAACTAAGCCAAAAAAAAACTAAATATAATCCAGTCTTTAGGCTCAATCTTCTACTTTAGGAAATACAGTGGGAATTGAGATAAAAGTTAATTGCTACAAGAAAATCAGACAAATCCAAAATATGGGAAACATTCTATATGACAAATGGCCTGGTCTCTTCAAGAAGCCAATATCATGAGTGTAAAAAAAAAAAAAAAAACTAGAAAACAGGACAACTGTTGTATAAGTGACTAAAGCAACAACGATCAAATGTGGTTCATAAACTGATTGAATATTGGTTTGAAAAAAGCAGTTACAAGTTGACCTTTTTGGAGGAGAGGGGCAGAATAAGATGGAAGAATAGGACTCTCCAGTGATTGTCCCCTAACAGAAACATCAATTTGAACACTATCCATGCACGAAAACACCTTCACAAGAGCTATGGAAACTAGGTGAGAAATCACAGTACCTGGTTGCAGCACAAACTGACCTTTTGGGGGAATAATTAGCAAAACTTGAATATGAACTAGATATTAAGGGCTTAAGTATGACATATGTAAGAGAATGTGTTTACTTTTAGGAGAGACATAAACGAATATGACAAAAAAGCTAACAACCACAATATCCAAATGAAGTATACAGGTGTTTACCGTAATATTCTTTCAATGTGTATGTCTGAACATTCTTCAGTTGGGAGTGATGTGGGAGAATGAAGTCACTTTAAAAAGTGGGTGAGGACGGTGACCAAAATGTTCAGTTGTAAGGAACCAAAAAACAGTAATAGCCGATTCTACTGACAGGTGTAACAAAGAAACACACTGAACTTAAACCAGGTTCCTATGACACATATACTGGAAGATGGAGCCAAAAAAGAGAGGGCATCATTTTACTAAACAATTCCTATCCTCAAAAAGTTTAAAATATCAACCAAAACTCTGCTGATAAAACCTTCTGAAATACACCCAGTATCTATCATTTTCTCAAGAGAAGAAGGGGCTATTAAAGATATACCATTTTTCCTCAATTATAATGATTAAGATGTATGGAAAACTTTGTAATTTTGAAATTTAAGAAGTATGGGAATAGCTTAGAGAATCAAAAACAAAAACTCTTTAAGACCTTACATTTATTTTCATACATAAATGAAGATGGCATGCTAAATCAAAATCAGTATCATTTTGTATCTCTCATATTAATAATGGGTTCTATGAAATTAAATTCTTTCTGCAATCCCTTACATACTACTGGCTGCGCAGATTTATACTGCTATAAGACACAACCATAAGTCCAGCCCCAAAGTTGACTCCTTCAATTAATGACTCAGTATCCTAGGGTTTCTCTGCGAAATTTAAAAATTTTATTCAACACGACTAAGTAGATACTTCTCAAAGCCACCCCCACAATACCTAGATTCTACAGCCTTTTAATTATGACAATATCATTACAACAAATATGTCAGCGCCTTTGATACATGAATGCCCTTTTACACTCCTAATAGACATGAAAATGTTACCCTATACCTTTATCTTTCCCAAACTTTGCAAAAATATCTAGTTTTCTCTGCCATTTTCCCTCCCATTTCTATTCCTAAGGCTATTTCCCCCTTTTCTAATAATTTCTATAATCTGTAGAAACTGGTACCCAAAATCTTACCCTCAGGAAAAACTGAAACCACATATACTACAATTTCAAACAGAGAATCTTATGACATAAACCTTGATCAACCTAACAAATCGCTTTCCTTAAAATGGTGAACTAGATAATTCAAACCAATTATCGTACTGAGAGCAACTAGAAAAACTGGACACCTGCCCAAGTCCCCAGAAAAAATGTTTTAAAAATCAAAACCAAAAAACCTGTTTGAGGGCATCAGAGTGCCAAGGTAGTGAAAAAGCATGAAGACCAAGATCTGGGAGAGTAAGGAAAAGCTCATAAGGGAGTCTGGCATCCGGGGCCATTTCTCCCCCTGAAGGGATCTGCCAATTCCAAAGACGTGGCTGAGAAGCTGAGCTTGAACTTGCAATAGATTTACATGACTAGAGAGGATTAAATATTGGAGTTAAGGGCCCAAGAAAGTGTGAGGGTGGGGGCATGTGGGGCTGATAACATCCCTGGCTTTATGCTAGAACTCCAAGGGGTCATACCTAGAAGTAAATAAAACATAAAATAGACCAGCCTTCGTAGACTCCGGAACCCAGTTTTGAAACATCATAGTCTCTGACTGGATTAAGATGATTCGGGATTGCTAGTGCCACTAGCTTGCCTCCTGCCAAAGTCAACAAAAATCCTCTCTAGAAGGAGATAGCATCATTCCCAAACCTTAAATTATCTATATAATTTTCCTTATATAATGTCTTAAGTTATCCGACACAGACATGCTTAATATATTCAAAAAAGTTTTTTTTTTTAAATCATGAAAGACTGGCACAGTACAAAACCCTGCTAACTTCAAAATTTCAAATACTTCACTCCATAATCGTTACATTCATCTCTGATGAATTCTTTAGGAATTCCCATAGCTGTTCTATGCCCTCCTTACTGCCCTTCAGTCCACATGCACTTGAAAACTTTACTAAAGTAAGAAAAATCAGTCATCCAATCTAAAAGGAATTCATACACTCACAGACAGACCCTCTAACCTGTCTTCTCTGTATATTACCTGAGAGGGAACATACTCCACTAAGTTGCCACAAGCGAGTGAACTAATGGGGAGACACCATAGGTTTTCCAACATTTTCCAACATAACCCATTACACACACACCTCTGTGTGTATCTATATATAAATATACTCACACATCTATGTGAAACACAACTTTCAAAAAATTCTGAACTACAGTAATCAACACACCGTGGGAACCTAAGAATAGACACATAGATCAATGGAATAGAATTCAGAGTCCAGAAATAAATCTGCCTTTTTTTCAAGAATGCCCAAGACAATTTGGTAAGAAAGAACAGTATTTTCAACAAATGGAGCTAGGACAACTGCATGTCTATATGCAAAAGAATTACCTCACATGCCTTCCTTATACCATACACCATAAAATTAACTCAAAATGGATCACAGACCTAAATGTAAGAGCTAAAACTATAAAACTCAGAAGAAAATGCAGAAGTTGTCTTCATGACCTTGAGTTAAGCATTGGCTTCTTATAAAAGATTCCAAAAGCACAAGGGAAAAACAAATACATTGGATTTCTTTATTGAAATTAAAACTTTTTGTGCTACAAATGATGCCATCAAGAAAGTAAAAAGACTACCTCTGAAACAGGAGAAAATATTTATAAACCATACATCTGTTATGCAACTTGTATCTATAATATATAAAGAACTCTTTGGCCAGGCAAGGAAGCTCATGTTTGTAATCCCAGCACTTTTGGAGGCCAAGGTGGGAGGATCACTTGAGCCCAGGAGTTACAGCACCTAGGCGGCACAGTGAGACCCCATCTCTACAAAAAATTTTAAAAATTAGCAGGGCACACCTGTGGTCCTAGCTACTTGTGAGGCTGGGGAGGGAGGATCATTTGTGTACAAGAGTTTGAGGCTGCAGTGAGCCCAGGTTGCATCACTGCACTCCAGGATGGGTGACAGAGCAAGAACCCCATCTCTTAAAAAAAAAAAAAAAAAAAAAAACTCTTACAACGTAATAAAAAGATAAATAACTCAATTTTTAAAATAGGCAAAGAATCTGAAATACTTCTCCAGAAGATATAAAAGTGGCCAAGAAGCACATGAAACTATGTTCAATATCATTAGCTATCAGGGAAGTGCAATT
Source organism: Homo sapiens (assembly GCF_000001405.40). Classification (NCBI taxonomy): domain Eukaryota; kingdom Metazoa; phylum Chordata; class Mammalia; order Primates; family Hominidae; genus Homo; species Homo sapiens. The sequence goes on along the minus strand of NC_000010.11, from coordinate 48,320,947 downwards.
TAAAATCACAATGGGCTATCACTTCACTCTCATCAGGTGGCTATTTTCAAGACAGACAATAACAAGCTTGAATAGGATGTGGAGAATTTGGAATCTTCACACCTTGCTGGTGGAAATGTAAAATGGTGCAGCCACTTTGAAAAACAGTTTGGCAGTTCTTCAAAATAATAAGCATAGAGTTACCCATATGACCCAGCAATTCCACTCTTGGATACATACCCAAGAGAAATGAAAACATACAACACAAAAAAACTTGTGTACAAATGTTCATATTCATAACTTGTGTACTATATTACTTACTATAGCCAAAAAGTGTAAACAATCCAAATGCCCATCAAATGAAGTGTAGGTAAATAAAATGTGGCATATCGTACAACCAAATAATATTTCACCATAAAAAGAAATGAAGGTCAGGCACTGTGGTTCATGCCTCTAATCTCAGCAGCACTTTGGGAGCTCAAGGTGGGAGGATAACTTGAGGCCAGGAGTTCAAGACCAGCCTGGGAAACATAGGGAGAGCCTGCCTCTACAAAAAATTTAAAATTAGCCAGGTGTGGTGGCATGTGCCTGTGGTCCCAGCTACTCAAGAGGCTGAGGCAGGAGGATTGCTTCAGCCCAGGAGTTTCAGCCTGTAGTGAGCCACGATCATGGTACTGCACTCCAGCCTGGGTAACAGGGTGACAGAGCAAGACCTGATCTAATTTAAAAAAAAAAAAAAAAAAAAAAAAAAAAAAAAGGCCGAGCAGTGGCTCACACCTGAAATCCCAGCACTTGGGAGGCCAAGGTGGGGGATCACCTGAGGTCAGGAGTTCAACACCAGCCTGACCAACATGGAGAAACCCTATCTCTACCAAAAATACAAAATAAGCTGGCAGTGGTGGCATGCGCCTGTAATCCCAACTACTGGGGAGGCTGAGGTAGGAGAATCACTTGAACCAGGAAGGCAGAGGTTGCAGTGAGCCAAGATCACGCCATTGCACTCCAGCCTGGGCAACAAGGGTGAAACTCTGTCTCAAAAAAAAAGAAAAGAAAAAAAAACAGAAACGAAGTACTGATACATGATACATGAACCTTAAAAACATCATGCTAAGTGAAATAAGCCAGTCACAAAAGATCGCACAGTGTATGATTCCACTTACATGAGAGATCCAGAATGCGCTGGGTGCAGTGGCTCACACCTGTAATCCCAGCACTTTTGGAGGCTGAAGTGGGTAGATCACTTGGGGTAAGGAGTTCAAGATCAGCCTGGCCAACATGGTGAAACCCTGTTTCTACTAAAAATACAAAAAAATTAGCCAGGCCTAGTGGCAGGCACCTGTAATCGCAGCTACTCGGGAGGCTGAGGCAGGAGAATTGCTTGAACCCGGGAGGTGGAGGCTGTAGAGAGCCGGGATCACGCCACTGCACTCCAGCCTGGGCAACAGAGCAAGACGTCATCTCAAAAAAATAAAAAAGAGATAGCCAGAATGAACAAAACTATAGAGAAGAAAGTGGGTAAGTGGCTGTTTAGGGCCAGGGAGAGGAGGGGGTGTGTGTGAAGAAATGGGGAGTGACTGCTAGTGAGTATGAGGTTACTTTCTGGGGTGACAAACATGTTCTAAAGTTAGGCTGTGATGATGGCTCCATTATTCCAGGAATATACTAAAAAAGCTTTGAGCTGTATATTTCAAATAGATAACTATAATGGTATGTGAATTATATCTCAATAAAACCGTTAAAAAATTCTTAGTCCCTTATTACACATGACACACTATGGTATTTTCTATTTCATTTCTTTTAACAACGTAACAGAAATTGTGATCTCCCAAAATTCTATAACCTACTAATGGGTCATGAGTAACAGTCTGAAAGCACTGCCACAGAGTCCTACAACACTAAAAGTGATAACCACCATCTCCTGTATCAGGACTAATCCTCTCATACCTCACATCCCTGCTTATGGTCACCAGAAAAAATCCAGCTCTCCCTGGTTATCTATTATTCTCTGAATTCTCACTGCCACACTGCTGTGTACGTCCTCCATTTGACTCAATTCTTCATCCTCCTAATTCCTTTACTTGGCCTTCTGAAATTCCCAATTTGTGACAAGCAAACTTAGCCTGTTACACTACCTTTAACCTTTCTTGTTCGTCTAGCCTCCCTCCAATTCTTCCTTATTCATTGAGGACATTACAACTGGTTTACAGTACGTACCCTTACTCCCCTCACTAGTTGCTGATTTCACCATGCATGCAGACTGACCCTTTTTTAATACCTCAGACTCTTTAACTCATTGGCCTCCTCACGTTCAGGATTTGTCTCTGAATTCCACCTCGGAAGCCCACACCCAAAGTTAACCTGAGCATTATTAATGTCAATAATTGTCATACTTGTGAAATCTCTCTTTCAGGTATTCCACTCTGACCATGGCATTCAATCTTTCAAGTTAACTTACTCAAACCCTGTGGCCAGTTACACACTCAACCACCACCACACAATAAGCATTCTAGTTAAAAGGTCCTTATTTCCCTTGTCCCCCTTTCCTTCTTTTGAACTGATCTGGTGTGATGGTTAGTTTTAAGTGTCAATTTGGCTAGTCTGTAGTACCCAGTTATTCAAACACTAATGTAGTTGCTGTGAAGGTATTTTGTAGATGTGATTAATATCTACAAACAGTCAAGTTTAAGTACAGGAGCTTATCCTTGATACCGTGGGTAGGCCTCATCCAATCACTTGGTAAGGCTTTAATAGCAAAAACAAGTTTCCCTGAGAAAAACAAAATTCTGCCTCAAGGCTGCAGTATTAACTCCTGACCAAGAATTTCCTGCCTGCCCTACAGATTTCAGACTTGCCAGCCCTCACAAAAACAAATGCCTTAAAATCTCAGTCTACCTACCTATAACTCCGATTTGCTGTTTCTCTGGAGAACTCTAATACACCTGGCAAAATCTCACCCTGGGTAAATTCAACTACCTGCCTTAATCTGTGCCTGTAACTAATCAGCTAAATAATGCTGGGGGGGTGGGGGGTCACAAAACCAGGCTGACTGATATCACTTTAAATTCAAGATTTTAAACCTTAAATGAACAATCAATACTTCTTGGCAAACTGCTTCAAACTCCCCAAACTCCCATCCCTTTCTGCCCGTATGAATCTCATGCTTCATTGAGCAAACAGAAACCACAGAGAAGATGAAAGCCAGGAGAATAGGCCTTCACCTTCCAACTTCCAAACTTCCTCGCAAGGGCACACAACTTTTCTGCATTTCCTCCTGTTAGATGGAAAAGATCTCTCCTCTACTGAGGGCCAAACTCTCTACCCGTACTCTGCATCCCCTTTCCTACATACAGCAATGCCATTTTCACTCATTTTCTGAGCCTCACAATTTCCTTTATCCACCAACCCATTTCTTTGTTCACTTCAGAGCTAATCTTAAAAGAGTGGTCTGCACCCACTGTGTCAGCACTTGCTCATTTCTCACTCTTTTTCAAAGTGTTTCATTCAGGGGCTGGGTGTGGTGGCTCACGCCTATAATCCCAGCACTTTGGGAGGCGGAGGTGGTAAGATCACGAGGCCAGGAGTTTCAGACCAGCCTAGGCAACACAGTGAGACCCCATCTTTACAAAAAACTTAAAAATTCGCCAGCCGAGTCCCAGCTACTCGGGAGGCTGGAGGCTGAGACAGGAAGATTCACTTGAACCCAGGAGTTTAAGGCTGCAGTGATCTACGATCACACCACTGCACTCCAGCCTGGGCAACAGAGGGAGACCCTGTCTTTAAAAAGAAAAATCATTCATTGTTTTTTAACCATCTTCAACTTGGCTTCTTTCTTCCCACTTTAATAAAACCACCCAACAAGATCACCAACAACTTCCCATATAATCTCTCTATGCCTGTTTCCTCATGTATAAAATGGGAGTAACAGTGCCCACCTTGTAGGGTTGCTGTGGGATGTTTAAACAATTTAACATACATAAAGCACAAGAACAGTGCCTGGTATATGATAGGCACCAAATATGCATTAGCTCCTATACCATTAGGATAGTCTGGATACTTGTTTTCCCGAGGTTCTAACTTTTTGTTTCTAGCTTACTTAACGATGTATGCGTCCTTCAGTAGAAAACTGCCTTAGCTTTTTGGTGGGAGCAGGGGAAGGGAAGAAGAGACAGAAAATAAACTATTTAATCCCCATTAAGCAATGAGATCTCTACTGAAGTTCAGCTAAGTACCTAACTACCATATAATTTTATAAGGATGAGCAACCTGCCCCAATCCAGTTGCCAAATCAAACTCACTCTTTGCACCCTCTCACTCCTGTGCTTTCCTGACTTGATTTTTGCATTTTTCCAAGCTTAAGACCCTCCTGTCTACATTCATTCACTTCATACTTCTCATATCTTGACCTCTACTTTGACTGCATGCTCTCTGACACCAGACTAAATTATATTTCCGGGAGCTGCCTCTGGGTGCTAAGCACATAGAAAGCAGCCTATACACATAGTCACACCTTGCTTAAGGACGGGGATACCTTCTGAGAAATGCATCATTAGGCAATTTCGTCACTGTGCAAACATCATGGAATCTACTTACACCAACCTAGATAGTACAACATACCTAAGCTATAATATGGTGTAGCCTACTGACCCTAGGCTACGAACCTGTACAGCAGGTTACTGTACTGAATACTGCAGGCAACTGTAACACAATGGGAAGTATTTGTGTATCTAAACATAGAAAAAATAGAGTAAAAATATGGTATAATTTTATGGGACCACTGTCACATATGTGGTCTGTAATGGACCGAAACCTCACCATGTGGTGCATGACTGTATCATCAAATAAGACACAAGGCAGTTAACTGCTAATCCTACATTCACTATCAAGTGATCCCCAACTTGTCCATTTAACATTTTGAAAACCACAATTCATTTCAAGTTACATTAACTTTAGAGAGAAAACTTCACACTACTTTAAGTATTCCCATAATCCCTCCCTAATTTCATTATTATTCATAACATTTAAATACTCAACAGATAAACAGATATTTTGGCTCATTTTACATATAATGGAGGAAAACTATAATCTTCTAAAATCACCACTATAAATGCAATAAGAAAAAATATAAGAGTATAAAAAGTTGGGGGAGGGAGGAGGTAAAAATCAAAGGAAACAAAAAAGCTGGCATGACATAAGAAAAATAAAAAATTCAACTACAAAACTATTAGAAATAATAAATATTCTACAGGGGGCTTATTATTTAATATATGAAATATTAACTAATATACAAAATAAAAAGCTTTCTTATATATAACCAGATAGAAGATAAAAGTGGAAAAAAAGATGCCATTTCCAGCAAAAAAAAAAAAACTTAAATATATAAAACAGCAAAAAAAAATTTTAATGTTTAAAAATGCTATCAGGAACTCAAAATGAGACTTCAACAAATGAAAAGGTTGTTTTTCCTATTCTTGGATATAAAGGTACATCATAAAGCTGTCACTTATTCTATAAATACAAAGAAATCCTAACAGTACACTGAATCCATTTAATAGAAGCCAATCACTGGGGAGCAAGGTAACTTGAAAAGGATGTAAGAAAAGGTTCTGGGTGATGGAAGTGTTCTGTATTTTGATCTGGGATTGCACAAGTGTATACAAAGGCAAACTTATTGGACTGTAATGCTTGTGCATCTAGCTGTGCATAATTTTACCACAATAAAATAAAAAAAGTGATTCCAACAGAAAGACTGGCAGAGGAGGGGTACAGACTAGACTAGATGGGTTGTTTTTAGAAGTTCATATAAAATAAACAAGATAGAAGCCAGAAAAAAACTTCTGAAAAGGAAGAGAAATAAAAGGGAATTAGACCTAGCAGAAAACACAGCATAAACTACAATAATAAAAACAGGATGGCTCAGGTCCCAAACAGGCAGATGGGTCAATGGAAACAATGGTACCAAATACACGTGGAAATTTTGTAAATGGTAAAGGTGGCATTTTAAATCAGTTAAGACAAAGATGGATTATTTAATAAATGGTGTAGGGACAAATGGATGGATATCTGGTGAAGAAAATAAAGTTGGAACCATACATAATAGCCTACCATAGAATGGAAAACAGCAAATTGGGGAAAAACATTTCCAAAAAATAGCATGGAGCCAATTTGTAAAATTAATCCTACAAATCTAGGAAAATGAGCAACAAAGCAATAGAAAAACATGCAAAGACAAGGACAGTTCAAAAGAAAGAAAACACAAACAGCCCTTAAAAGATGAAAGACGTCTAAGGGTAATAAGAAGCAGGCATCCTTACACAGTGCTGGTGGAATGGAAGTTGGACAACCTCTACAGGCTACACTTCAGCAATACATAAAATTACAAATGCACATACGCTGGCCTAGGAACTCTACCTCTGGAAATTTATCCTATGCATTTAAGTGCAACACGACGTATGCACAAGGTAATCCACTGCACCATGGCTTTTGATAGCAAAAGTCTGAAAACTACCTAAATATGCATCAGAAAGGAGTTAAATGGTATACCAGTATAATGATGTTATGGACTGTCTGTGTCCCTCCAAATTCATATGTTGAAGGCCTACCCTCTAACTTGATAGTATCTGGAGGAGAGACCTTTAGGAGTTAACTAAGCCTCTCATGACTATATTAGGTCATGAGGGTGGAGCCCCCATGATAGGATGAGGAACAGACTAGAGCTCTTAGGGGCCATGTGAGGATACATCCAGAAGCCGGCCACCTATAAAGCCAGGAAAAGGACCCTCACCAGGGAACCAAATTGACTAAGTAGCCTAATCTTGAACTTCCCGACCTCCAGAACTGTGAGAAATAAATTTCTGTTGTTTAAACCACTCAAGTTATGGTATTTTGATATAGCAGCCCAAACAGAGTAAGACAAATGGAATACCACAAAGATGTTAAAAAAGCATGCCATTTACATACTGATATGACTGATATAAAATAATCTCTCAGCTATATTAAAACAAAAAGCAGGCCACGTGCGGTGGCTCACACCCGTAATCCCAGCACTTTGGAGGCCAAGGCAGGTGGATCACCTGTAATCCCAGCTACTCAGGAGGCTGAGGCAGGAGAATCACCTGAACCTCGGAGGCAGAGGTGGCAGTGAGCTGAGATTGTGCCACTGCACTCCAGCCTGGGCAACAAGAGTGAGACTCCGTCTCAAAAAACAAACCAACAAGCAAAAAACAAAAAAGCAAAAGGTGATACATATTGCATGCAACAACTTACATTAAATAAAAAGGGAGGGAGCAGAGCAGAGGCTATACAGTACTGTATATATGTATGACACCTATCCTTCATTGGCAAAGCCAAAATCCATAAAGCTGTGAAAAATACGTTTTTAAAATAAGTTTAGTACAAACGTATTTGGTGGTAAAACCTGACGAGACGTAGCATAAGATTTTATAATCTTTATTCACCCTACTTGTATTTGTTATGCTTTTATAAAAATATTAATGTCTTTGATTATTTCTGGGTGTTGTTGTTGTTGTTGTTTTTTGAGACAGAGTCTACACCTCTGCCGCCCAGGCTGGAGTGTAGTGGCACGATCTCAGCTCACTGCAACCTCCGCCTCCTAGATTCAAGAGATTCTCCTGCCTCAACCTCCCAAGTAGCTGGGATTACAGGCGTACGCTACCACGCCCAGCTAATTTTTGTATTTTTAGTATAGACGGGGTATCACTATGTTGGCCAAGCTGGTCTCAAACTCCTGACCTCAGGTGATCCGCCCGCCTCGGCCTCCCAAAGTGCTCAGATTACAGGCGTGAGCCACCGCGCCTGGCCTATGTCTGTATTTTTTACAGAAATGTTAATGTGTTTAATCATGAGGCTACAACCTCTTACTAGGGATTTTGGATAACACGGTAGATGTGCTACATTATCTTTCCACAACTGCAAAAAAAGCCTTCATTCTAAAATACATCTGGACCAAGGATTTTGAACAAAGGATTATATACTTAAACATATATAAACTATCTTTGGAAGTATTCACAGGAATTTTAACAGTTTCCAGGCAGAAGAACTAGGTGGCTACACAGAGTAGAAAAGGAGATTCTTTATCTTTTTAAATCTTTGGAATTTTGAGTCAAAGTGAATTCATTACTACTTAGTCAAAATATAAAATGTAAACAAATTAAAACATTAAGACTTTTAAATTCTCAATAGTAACAGCCAAAGCTAGATGCTTTGGTTTTTGTTTAACTGAAAAGTGACGCTTTCTCAAGTCACAGAAAAATCCACACAGCAGTAGCTTTTCTTTATCTTACCTTTGGTTGACCCAATGGCATCTGAAAATCAGAAAGCCATCCTTCCTGGAACAAGTCAGAAAATGGTGATTTTTCTACCCAATTAATGACTTTTAGGAAATAACATCTTATGGTTTTGATGTTTCCTGCCAAGCAAAGCAAGTGCTTGTGTGTGGCTATTTTTCGTTTCTAGTTTCCCCAGAAATATGGTGGGTGGCAGGCTTGAGTCTCTCAGCACCAAGAGGCAGTACTGGAGGACTATACTTCTCAATACTGGAGAGAGACTTTAAAAAGTGTTTCTAGTACAGATCCAGCCTTACATCATAAGAGCTTCAATACAGAGGAGATTGAGAACTCTGGTTAGTACCTGAGTAGCATCTTTTCTACTGTCAGCTTTTCATATTTCTCATATACTTATTTTGATACCCTGTTGTATTCCAAAATGAATTCATAAGGTTTGCCTTTTCTTATGATTTGGATTTTGACTAATGTGCACCACACTCTCAACTTAAACCAGGAATCAGAAAAGAAGATATCTTGCTTTCTCAGGTTTATCGAGTGAGTACAAAGGCATGGCAAGAGATGTAAGGTTTGGAAGGCCCCAAATGCCCCAATGACAAAAGAAATTCCTAATGAAATGACTAACAATATTTGCTTCCTTGTGTTAGGACATAAATGTGCTTACGTTAATCCTTATCTTCTATCAAATTATACTCAGCTCACTGAGGGTAGAAACTGACTTCTATTTCCTTTGGTTCCTACATCACCGAATACCTGGATTAGTATAGTGCAATGCTCAGTAAATACTGCCGAAGTAAAAACCAGTGTCATCTCATAGTAGATGCTCTTGAGAAGGAACAAGAAATTTAATCCACCATTATAATCATAGAAACGCTAAACAGAAGACTTAGAAAACCACAGAAAATACAGAAAAGATAATATTTCTAAGTGGTACTAATAAATAATCTCCCTCATTTTTTAAGAGGCCTCCAGGCCTCAATGAATTGTTGTGGTTACCAGGTCTCTGACAAATCTGCAATCTTCACAGAATCGAAGATCCCAATAACACTAAATTTAAAAGATGTGACAGCATTCCATTTTCTTCAAATGTGTCACATGATAAAGCTATTCGTAGCTCCTAAATTCTCATTCCTTTAGATGTCTATAACAAACCTAGGAAAGCTTAGGCAATTTTCTCCTGTGGGAAAAGGCAAAAAATCGTGAAAGTGGCAAATATGTTCCCTTCAATATTTGCTTCTGGAACATTTCCAAATTTTAAGATAGAGAGGATTACTGGTCCAAATGTTAATATAAATCATCTCAGTCAATTCAGATTACATGAGATGATCGAATTTTAAATAAACCCCCCAGAGATGCAGAGTGAAACAAATGGCATATTCTGGAGAATTAGAATGGACACTGTGCATTAAACTGGTTTGACGTTTACTTGGCATTTTATGTTTGTTCAAAGTTAAATATAAGTGATAACAATAGCAAAAACTACCTGAATACTTGTATCTAGCATTCCAGCCACCACAACAGTGCCAGGCACTTTACATGCAGTACCTAATTTAAACCTCACAGCCCTATGAGGTTACGTGCTATTATTATTCTCATTTGACAGATAATAAAACAGGCCCAAATATGTTATATAACCTGAACTAGCCTATACCACAGTTAGATTGGAGCACGATTAGAACTCAGGGCTGACCTTAAAACCCACGCTAGCAATCATTGTAAGGTTTGAGTTCCTTGACTTTCTAAAGAATGGCAGATTTTAACTAAATCTGAAATATAATAAAGGGTAACAGGAAACACAGGTATCTCTTGTATTTGTGATATAACCCACCTCCAAGAAAAAGAATGGAAGCTACTAAGTTTTCCAAAAAGGGGTCTCCTCTCTGTCTCTCTCCATGCACATACGTATACACACATACACACACACACACACACACACACAATTTTAAAAACTGGATTTCAGTGAAATTTGGCCTGCACAGAGATGTGAAGTGGGCTTTTGTTTGGCGGGAACCCTTTCATATACCTTTTAAAAGAGCATAAATTAACTGTTTAGCGATGCCTTCAGTCTAATCCTTGATTATAAGCTTCCTGAGGATAATGAACTCATTTTATGTCTTCCACAAAGTCTCTGGGAGCATACGGTCTCATTAGAAGGCATGATGCTGTGGAATAAATAAAAGCCTACCTTTCCAAGAATCTCTAGCTTATGGTGAAGCCTTCCATTTGTTTTCTAAGTCTGGATATTAAAGAAAAAATTCAACTCAACAATTTTTTTGGCTTCTGAAAATTACAAAATTACAAAATCCTAACTTTGACTACTGTTCTTAACTTAGGCTTCTGATTATCACCCAAGAAGGGCTCTTTTTGTCCTAGTATGTTTTCTCAAGAACCACCTATCTGAGGAACAAGCCTTCTATAAAAAAAAGTTCTGACAGCCTCAGTTTATACTTTTAAAGCCAAAAACATTAAGGCACTTGCCTAAAGCTCCAGAATTTGATGACAAAGTCCAGATGGCAGAACTGAGAAATGAACCTAGGTCTGATTCCTGGATTGCTCTAGCTCCACCTATTGACCTGAATGACAGGATAACTCATTTCAATACTCCTGTTACCTTTCAGTCAACTCACTTCTGAAATCAAAGTTCAACTTAACCTGCATTAAGAGTAAGAATGCAAGGCTTCTAAATGTTCAGGTAAAGAGCTCATGATTAAGACAATCAGCATCACAGTTCACTGACATAGGCAAATGATTCATATATAAAGCTATGTGGTTATAATGACTTCCTTGGACCACATGAATCAGAAAAGCTACTACCCATACCATTGACTTGACCAGAGACCTCTAGAGCACTGGAATCCTAATGTCAGACATTATTTTGTATTTCCACTCGTGCAACAAAGCATCTCAACCATGTAGATGACTGAAATATGTCAAAATTCAACCCGCTGGCAAAGCAGACCAACAAGAAGCAGGCTCCTATTCAACAACCTCTTAGCACTAGGATAGTTGGGGACTAGTCATTTAACAACAAATTCCTTCAAGTTGTTTCACTGAACATCTCATCCTCACAAGGTCACTTTGATAATATCAGGCATGGAGCAAATAGTTAAGATTATAACCACATTAATTTGTATACAATTTATTCTTGCACTGACTTCCTTTCCAAATGGCATTTCCCCCAGGATCTAAAGGAGTATGAAGGATATAGTTTCCTATTCTGCCAGGACAGGACATTTAAAAGGAGCCCTTTTCATACTTACTAAAGGAATATATTTACTAACAGAATCGATGCTATATCTCTTACTTTAAAGGATAATTTGAAGTGAAATTCAGAGTGACTGCTAATGGATATGGTGTTTCTTCTTGGGGTGATGACAATGTTCTGGAATTAGTGATGGTGATCAAGGCACAACACTGTGAAAATACTAAAAACCGAAATATATACACTCTAACTGGTGAATTTTATGTCAATTAAATTGCAATAAAGCTATTTTTAAAAACCAACAATTTGGAAAACAAAGTAACACAACTCTGGTTCTTTACACAGCCTGTGAGCTACTGCCAAAGGATTGTCAGTAACCCCTACTAGAATCTGACATACCCTAACTAGGTAAAGCAATAAAACTTTGGTATCTCAAAGATTTTCAACCATCATCTTAAAAAAGTATTATTTTCTTATTTCTTCATTTCCACTTTACAGCAAATAATAAGAAACTCATTAGTTAACTCATTTCATATTCTTTCAAATACAAAACAAACGCTAAACTGTATTTAGTAAGTGGAAAAGAGCTTTAACTTCGATAAATCAATTATTTTGAGTTTTAGGCTCATATTTTGTACCAATTGTGTTAATACAAGTTAGAACTTAAAACCAAACATTTCAAGTAAACATTTCTAAAATATTAGAAATATTTCTAATAAAACATTTATGTGGTTTTGTCCTCAATTTTCCACAATAAGAGTCACCAAAAAACTTTCAAATAATATTCACAAAATTATAAATGCAATCATTTTAGACCCCTACTGAAATACCAGTTTATGAGTGCCTGTGTGTGGATTACGTACATGCACACACACGGACACACATAAACTAGCACATACACAGAAACACACACTCCACAACCTACTTTATTTATCATATTAAAAAAATATTTAGACAAGATTTTATTTTAGGACAGTGAATGACCTACACGTGATTCAAAAGCCCATGTCATCATAACAGATAATGTACATGAACTGACCATTTAGCCATCTGATGCGACAGTTGCATGAAGCTTCCAAAACTTTATGGAGAACATTACGGTTTTTTTTAAGGCTTGATTTTAAATATTATCAATTACAAAGAGCTTTTCATCAATCCGACTTTTATTGAACACTTACTATATTCCAGGCTAGGTGGTGGAGAAACAGATGCAAGACAGGCCTGCCCTCAAGGAAGTCCCATTTTGATTGCTTGCTTTTGTCAGGCACAGCACTAAACATGTTCACTTAGAGCATCTGACCTCCTAGGTTTAACGTTAACCACAGCAGGGGAATCTGAGGTAACCATTACAAATGACTGTAAGGCTGCAAGACTGGAAAAAATAAAATTTAGAAATAAATAAAAGCTGTTGTATATTTAGACCAAATCTAATTCTACTTCCTATTACACTTGAACTTCCAGATATACTGCTTAAAAAATGACCCAGAATATAACCATACCTTCCTTAACAGACATCACTTATGTAACTGTCTCATTTAAAGGTCCATCTATTATACTTCAGTCAAAGCATCCTCTTCCATGAAAGGATACTTTACCTTCACACCAAACCTCTTCATCTGAGTACGGTACTAAACAGCTGCTGAATGAATGAATGAATGAAAAAACAGATGTTCTAATTGCCAAGGAGGTACTTGCTGGATGCTTATCTCAAAACACAATGGACTGACGGACCAGAATTCTACTGGAAAGATCGCTGGATTTCAGAGGTAAAAATAGTAATCACTGGACAATGCCATGTAGTCAACATGTTATTAAATTCGCAGTAAAGACCAAGCAGGGAACTTTCAGAAATAAAAACGGAAAGTGTTCATCAGGGTACTTTAAAATGGACTTGGTTCTACCATCTCTGAATCGGGAACACAAATGCGAGACAAAGAGATGGGAGGGTGGGGTGAAAAAGTCAAAAGGTCACCACCGATGACCCTCAAGAGAAATGCGCGCTGACCACCGAAGCTCGGGCCAAGCTGGATGGACACCTCCCACCCGAGCCACGGGCCTGGGCTCTCTGCCCTGCAGCCCAGAGCTGCAGGCCACTCTGGCCCTTTTCAGCGCTGCTGCCTGCGTTCGCCCAGAACGTTAGCACAAAGAAAGCATCGAGAAGCAAAATACGGTCCCTATGGGCGCGGGGCAGGCTTGGGGACCTGCCGGCAGAAGCGCTCTCCCCGGCTCCCCGCCGCCCCGGAGGCAGCCAGGGCGCGGCGGGCCGCAAAGACACCTCCGTCCGACCCTTGCCGAAGTGTTTCAGAACTTGCCACCCACCCCCCCGCTCCATTTTCTTCTCCCGCCGCGGAGGCAGGACCCACGCGAAGAGGACGCGAGAGGACAGGCGGGCGGGGCTCGCGGCGGCAGGCGGGCTGGCGGGCAGCGGAGCGCACCCAGGTCCCGCAGCCCCACGCCCCCTCGGCTGGCCCCCGCCTCCGCGCCGCTATTGTTCCCGCGCCGCCCCCGCCCACCGCGCGCTCCCGCCCCCACTCCCAGGAGGGGGTTACGGCTGAGGAGAAGGCGGCGGCGGCGGCAGCGGCACAATAACATAAACACGACGGGGCCGCCTGCCGTCCCGGCCCTGCGGCGTCCGCCGCACTCACCCGGCAGCGCAGCGAACGGCGACAGGGAAGCCCGCCAGCGGGGACAGGGGCCGTCCGGGGTGGTCGCCGCGGCCGTTACCCAGCGCTGCTCGCGGCTCCGCAATCCAAGCCGCGTCGTCCGGCCTCGGCCGCTCGGCTGAGTAACAGAGACGCGGGCCGTCACCGCGCACGCCCGCGCACGTCATCGCGCAGGGCCCCGCCCCCGCGCCTCCCGAGCGGCCGGCGGGGCGGGGCAGCCCCGGGGCCCGGATTGCGGGGGCGGGGCCGCCGCCCGGGGACGGCGCTACTCCAGGGGTTACGAGAGGACTTGCGGAGGTCGCTTGGAGGCGGAGCCGCGGAGAGAGCCTCCGAGGGCTGTGGGTGAGGGGCGTGGCCTGGAGCGGGAGGGGCGGGCCCTGTGGCGGCACGTGGCGGCGCGTGGCCCCAGGGGACCGCATCTGGTTGGCGGCGGTAGCCAGGTCAGAGCTTAAGCCTTCGGGCCTCGTCGGCACAGGGTTGAAGGGCAGGTGCGCTTAGGCCTAACCTGCGCAGCGAACAGGCACCCCCTTCCGGTACACACACCTGAGTGATGAAGAGCTGGTTACCTTGACCGACAATATGTTCCATTCTGAGGACACCTGTCCGGGTCCCAGAAACCTACAGAGAGATAAGTGTTCTCTTCAGCTGCCCGGGAAAAGCTGCCTCCAGTTTTTCCAAAATCCACCTCCTCCGAGATTCCTTGCAAATCCACCTCTTCCCAGATTCCTTGCATTACCTGGTTTACTTCTGAGGCCCCACAAAGCGTGTAAATGTTACAGAAGCGATAAATTGACAAGTCCTTTAAATATCCAACAACGGGTGGAAAGGCGTTTGAACTACCTACACCATTCGGTAGAATACATTTTAGCAATTTAAATGCCATGTGTTCAAGGAATTCTTAACAACATAGGAACATGTTCACAATGTATCATTAAGAGAAAGAAGCAAGAAACAAGTCATATATAGAATGGTCCCACTTAGATACTATATATACACATAGAAAAAACCTGGAAAGAAATACACCAAATTATGTTAACAATGGTTCATCATTGGACTATGGAATAAAGGGTGACTTGGTTCTCGTTTATACTTTGGGTATTTTCTCATGTTTTCCGAGAGGAATAGTTATGTTCACAATCAGAAACAAGTAAGTTACTTTAATAATGAATATATAAATATTTGTTGAATAAATGAATGATTTCAGGTAAACTACTTTCCTATTACATGTGGGGCTGGCCTGTTTCTGGTGATTCTGAAAGGGAACATACAGATGATTATTCATTCATTCTCTTCCCATTTCCTCTCTCCCTCCCTCTCAACCTTCTTAATTTCCTTCCTGCCATCCTTTGTTCCTGCAATAATTATTTATTGCATGCCCATTCAGTGCCAGGCAATACAGTAGAGTTTACAGATTTAATCACTGTACTATGAAAGTAATAATAGTAAACGCAAAATTATCACTGTTTTATAATACAAATTGTTAAGGATACATAATACTATGAAACCAATTAATACACTAGTTAATAAGGCCAGAAAAGATTTCCCTGAGGAACTGTCACTTGAGCTGGGAATAGGTTTGACTAGACAGAGAATATTTTAGAGGTAGCTTTGCACGCAAAGGTCCTCTGATGAGATTAAGCAGGATAAGATGGAGAAATTCAGGAAAGGCCAGCTCTGCTGGAGGAGCAAGGAAGAAGGAGCTATGAGATGAAGTCAGGAAGATTGGTAAAGGGACCAAACGTAGGACATCCATATTGGCCATGTTGAAAATCTTTTTATCCTAAGTGCAATGGGAAGCCCCTGACATATTCAGCAAAGGGTGTGGCATGGTCAGAATAGCTTCTTGAAAAGATTCCTTATTGGAAAGAGCCCAGGTGGATGTAGGAGTAGCCTAGACGGTAAGAGGTGGAAGCTTGATCTAGGGTGATGGTCATGGAAATAGTTGATGGACATGGAAAGATCTGTGAATTATTTAGGAGGTCCAACGGGCAGAACTTGCACATTCTCCAAGTGATGGGTTATGTGGGGCAATGAAGGAGAGGGAGTCATCAAGGAAAACTCAAAGGTTTCTGGCTTGTGGCCAAGGATGGATGTTAGTGCTGGTTTACCAAGATGGGAATCTTGGAAAAGGACCAGACTGGCATTAAAATATCATGAGAGCAGGCTGTTTGGCTGTTTGAAGGCTTTTGAGATGCCCAAAACTGATGTTAAGTTGGTGGTTGGATATACAGAGCTGAGGTTCAGCTAGTTAAGAGACGAATCATTGACAGTGAGTGATTCCTTGAAGCCTTGGGATAGATGGGTCAGCCTAGGCCTGAGGAGAGGGCCTGCAACCAGGCTTGGGGAACTTCAGTGTTAAAGGGCCACAAAGGGGAAGATGAGTCTGTGATGAGCTGCCAGGGAGATAGAAGGATAACCAGGAGAGAGGTGTTCAAGAAGAAAGGGCTGATCAATAATATTAAACATAAGAGGAGGCTTGGAATCCTGGAGTAATAGAACCAGAAGTGAATTAGAGTGGGCTGGGAAATGAATGGGAGGTGAGAAAATAAAGGTGGTGAATATGGATGAGTCGGGCAGTGAAGTAGGACACAAGCATATTTTACATCTGATGGGAAGACTGTTGAGAGGGAGAGGTTGAATACACACAAAAGAGAAGGAAGACGTGTGTTTCCAGAGAGAACGGGGTGTGATTGAGTGCACAGACAGAGGTACCACCTACTCTTCACCAGACAAATTAAAGGCCTGGAGGTAACAAAAAACAATACAACCCTTAGAGCTGTTGTGAAGTGAGGGGAGTTGCTGGGAGCAGAGCTCCAGAGTTTCACGCCCAGTTCTGTGATGCTATTGTTAATAACCGCCTCTGTCTCACTCCACAGAGTGAGCTTCTGACTTAGTATCAGTCTACCATGGTCAGCTTCTGATTATCTACAACTAGAAAGAACATTCCACATATTTACATATGTGCGTTTGTGTGTTTGTGTGTGTGTATGATTGATTTCAGAAAGCATTTTGCTATTTCTGATGGAATGTAATTATCTCTGATATTCTGCAAATTCAAAATGCTTTTCTGTAACCCAGATGCAGTGTTGGGCCTTCTTCTTCCTTTTCATGCAATTCTTTCTTGTCAACCTGTTAGGGTTCCTTGTTAACCTATTAAGGGGCTGACTCAGAAAAAGAGGAAAATATAGTGAATTCAGGTTTCTTGTCTCTTGTCCCAGGGGAGCTGTCTTGGGGACACCTGGTCTTTGGATACCTCTGAGGCTGGGATGGGGAAAGGAGAGAAGAGGAACTGTAGGCCTTTCAAACTCAGCCTCTGCTGGAGCCCTGAGGGATGTTCAAGAAGAGGTTGCACTCCACCAGAGTATCTCTTCCCTTGTCATCCCAGACCACACACAATGGATTGCACTGAAGATGTTTCTTTGGCTAAGGTAGTCAGGTGAATATCACCAAGCTGTTCAGGGTGCAGAAACTGAAAGCTGAGACTTCAACTTACTTCCTAATTCCCTGACCTCACCCCAGGGGTGGGGAGTTGGGTTGGTGGGAAGGTACTTACCAACTAAAGCCTGCAGAAGGGCATCTCCAAGGACACTCCCTCTCCCCTGACTCCACCTCCACCACCATCCTTCTCTGTTAGCCTTGCTTTCAAGCCTCCCAGTCTCGTCTCCCACCCATGTCTCCAGTCAAGTCTACTTTTCCCCCAACAGGAGGGAGAGGTTCAGCACCTTGGTCAGTCAGTCCCTGACTCAGGGATGTTCTTTGAGAATCTTTCAAGGTGGAGCCTGCTGGCTCCCGATAAAGCAAGACAGACCCTGGATGCATGAGTAGAGGAAAGATGAGTGTTCGTATTGTAAATCCATCCTCCAGCTGCAAGAACTGTGGCTCCTCAGGGGTAGGAAAGGGCCAAAAATGGCCCGAGCTCCTCAGTCGCAACTTGAACAAAATGAAGTGGAGACAGAATGGGCAGAACTCTGATTTGAAGTTACAAGTGGTACCCTGTTTTTGCTTACAGGTACATGCAAGAGAGAACCAACTAAGCTAGTCAAGTTTATAGATTGAGTACACATGCATATTTCCATGGGAAAAAAAAAAGGTCAGCATTTATTCCTCTAAGACGATGGTTTTCAAATTGTGGTTCCCCAGACCAGCATCAGCTGAGAACTTGTCGAAAATGCAAATTCTCATACTCACCTTAGACCGGCTGAGTGAGAAACCTTGAGGAAGAAGCCCAGCAATCTGTGTTTTAATGAGCCCCCCCAAGGCATTTCTGATGCCCATTTGAGTTTGAGAATCCCAGCAGCAGGACACTGACTCACAAGTCACCCTGCTCATTTTAATCACCTGGGTGGGGAGGGGCTTTAAAACTGCCCACACCCGGCTGAACGTGGTGGCTCACAGCTGTAATCCTAGCACTTCGGGAGGCCGAGGCAGGTGGATCACAAGGTCAGGAGTTCAAGACCAGCCTGACAAACATGGTGAAGCCCCATCGCTATTAAAAATACAAAAATTAGCTGGTCGTGGTGGCGCAAGCCTGTAATCTCAGCTACTCAAGAGGCTGAGGCAGGAGAATCACTTGAACCTGGGAGGTGGAGGTTGCAGTGAGCCAAGATCACACCACTGCACTCCAGCCTGGGTGACAGAGCAAGACTCCGTCTCAAGGAAAACAAAACAAAACAAAACACTACCCACACCCAGGCTCCATGTCTGGTGCTCCTTCTCCAGTGGTCTGGGGTGGAGCCCAGGCTTCTGTAGCTATTTTCACATCCCCTCAGGTAATTTTAATTTGTAGCCAAAAATGAAAGCCAGTGCCCTAAGAAATTTGGCGTATTTTCTGTTTTTTTAAAACCTCAGAGCAACTGGACAGAACATCTTGCTCTCCATTAGCTTTTGTGCTTTCATTCTTTATTCTTACTTTCATTATTGGTTCTTTTTTTCCAATGTTTTGCCCACCTCCCACATCTTACACATATGCTAAATTGTCCTCTCTCCATCCACACCCACTGCCTTAGCTTGGGCTGCCATCACAAAATATCATAAACTAGGTGGCTTAAGTGACAGAAATTTATTTTCTCAAAATTCTAAAGGCTGGAAGTCTGAGATAGGAGTTTGCCAGTATGGGCAGGTTCTGGTGAAGTCACCTTTCTCAGCTTGCAGACAGTCACCTTCTTGCTGTGTCCTCACATGGCACAGTGAGAGGGAGAGGGAGGGAGAGAGAGAGAGAGAGAGAGAGAGAGAGAGAGAGAGAGAGAGAGAGAGAGCGAGCTCTCTGGTGTCTCTTCTTATGAGGATGGTAATTCCACCATGTGGGCCCCACCCTCCTGACCTTGTCCAACCCTAATCACCTCCCAAAGGCCCCACCTCCTAATGCCATTACAATGGGAGCTGGGGCTTCAACATATGAAATTAGAGGAGACAGAGACACAATTCAGTCCATAGTACCCAGAAACTGAAGATATTCAGTGTTCATCCCCTGGTGAAAAAAATATAAAGGAAATTGAATAGGAGAGAAAGAATATATTATTGAAGTCATACAACCTGTAAATAAAATATTTGTTGTTTTAAATAAATAAATGTTTTAGAAGAGAGCTTTTTACCAGATCTCTTAGCATCAACACCCTACCCCATCTACAATTATTAGCTAAGAATTTCTTTGAGCCCAGTGAAATTTTGCCTTTCATAGCTCCTGCACTGTAGAACTTGTGCCAAGGTCCCATTGTGGAGAGAAAACAACACTTCATTACCGGCCCCCTCCACCCCATCTCCACCTTTACCTCCTGGCCTTCACCCTCACCCTTCAGATGTAAAACTGGAGCTCATGCTAGACTGGCAGGCATTCCACCAATGACCCTTTGGCAGAGAGACCCCTGTGAATTCCCAACCTTGGCCAACAGTCCTACTCATTCTTGGCTAGATTTGAAAAGACTCTTTGTGGCATCATTGGGGAATGAGAAAGAGATTCTGGCATCACTGGAGAGTTAAGAGTCTCTGCAGGTGGCAGGGTTTTGAGCCCCTCAGAGGGCAAGTGATGTTTCCCTGCCGCAGCCTTGCCAGCGACCTCTGCTGGGGCATTCTCATGTTCCTGACTCAGAGGTGATCCCTGAGGCCCTCTGATGCTCCTGAGAAGGTGCTGTTGCTTCTGGAAAGTGGAGATTAGAAGACAATTTGAAGGAATTTTCAATGGCTTCTTAAACCTGTTCCTGAAGCAGATTCCCAGTCAATGACAGCTTCACTTCTGAGGGTAGGTTGCATTGCTTCTCTTGCCAAAAACCTACAGGATTCACTCTCAGCTGAGGGTTGGCATAGCTGGTCAGCCTGGCCAGCTTGAGGCTTGTCGTGGTCTGGGAAGCTAGCAGAGGTGAGTAGGGTTTTTGGGCTTGGGAAAAGGCAGAGGGAGGTATCATAGCCCTTCAAGGTGTGGGTCTCTTAAAGGAGGGACAGCTACACAGGAAAGTAAGTGAAGCCGGGCATGGTGGCTTACACCTGTAATCCCAGAACTTTGGGAGGCCAAGGTGGGAAAATCATTTGAGCCCAGGAGTTTGAGACCAGCCTGGGCAACAAAGCACAAAGTGAGGCTCCAACTCTACAAAAAAAAAAAAAAAAATTAGCCAGGCCTGGTGGTGAACACTGTAGTCCCAGCTACTCATGAGGCTGAGGTGAGAGGATTGCTTGAGCCCAGGAGGTTGAAATTGCAGGGAGCCGTGATCATGCCACTGCACTCCAGCCTGGGTGGCAGAGCAAGACCTGTCTTAAATGAATAAATAAATAAGCATTCCTCCCCAAATGCTCCAGCCATGCTTGAGGAATAAGCAATCCAGGGTAGATAGGGCAGAAATCTATTTCTGGGAGTGCTAAGTCATGAAGACTGGATAAGGTCGCAAACCCACACCCCAGCTCACCACTTCCCTTGCCCCCTATAGTATTCTATTTCCTTGAAAAGCCAAAGTGTGGTTGGTACTGCCAATCTGTGCAGAGCAGGGAGCAGGACTTCTCTTTGGCATCAGCAGGAACAACAGTGATATCACAAATACCCTCTTCCCAAAGGCAGGGCCATGGTATGAGATTCTCTCTATCCTCAAGCCATCAAGCAAGGTCCACTACAAGGGTGTGCCATAGTAGTAATGGGGACCCTCCCATTTGAAACTCTTTGTGAGGGCACCTACCCACGCACTCAGAGAAGGAAGAACCACACAAACTACACTGGATTCAAATATTTGGCCCCATCTAGCCTCACAGCAGAGTGGGACATCAGAACCTAAGGGGCAGAATTTCCTTCACTGTTTCTGAGGTCTGCAACCCCAAAGGGAGACTGGAAAGGGCTGTAAGAGGCAAGCCAAAGAAAACCAAGTATCAAGAGCTGGCCTCTGAGGCACAGATTTTAACCAAAAGTGATGGGGGAAAAAACTACACGGAAGCAAAATTCCCCTGAGGAAACTAGCCAAGGCACCAGAAATCTCCCCACCACATCAGTCCTGCAGCTTATACATCTATCTAAGGCAAGACATTTACGAGTGCCAAGGTAAACGGTGAGCTCAAGGGTTCTCGGTGCTCCGCTGAGATGGAAAGCCGTGCATTCTCAGTGACACAGTTGTGGACTTTTCTCTAGAGTCCTTGTCAACAGAGGTAGAGAAATAGAGACAGCATTTGGAGGGGTGTATCTGGGAGCTGGGTTTTTTTCCTGGGCATGTCAAACGGAAAGATGGACATCAAAGCAGTTGAAGATGCCCCAGAGATTATCACAGTAAGGACTCTGGGGCCCAGGCTGGGAGGGCAGTGAGGCCAGGAGAGGACAAATATATTGGGGCAAAATTTACACAGGGAGCAAGGTTTTCAGTTCTTTAGAACTGAGGATGGTGGTAAATTCAGATGCGAGCATATAAGAAGGAGATGGACAGAGAAGAACTGGTTGAGACACCATATTTTAGGTTTCCCGTGTGGAGTACCCTATGCATATTCACACATGTGTACGGCTGGTCCATTGCAGAAGTGAAGATCACTCACAGTCAGGGAATATGAGCCTCTTGTGTTGGACTCCTAGTTGGATCAGATGCCCCCAGGTTGTCCAGGATGAGTCCAGTTTATACCTGTTGCCCCAGAGTGATTATTAATTGTGTGTCTGGCACTTTCAAAAGCATCCAGGTTTGAATGACTAACTTATATAATCCCTTTCCTATGCAGCAAATTCTTTGGGCAGCACTGGCTTCATGAGAATTTGGCCTGTGCAGTCGCATGGGACCCTGCTCTCACAAGGAGTCCATGGCTGGTTTAATGCTCTGCTGTTGCCATCTTGCAATTCTTATAATTTCATCTTTGGACTTGTGTTTTGTGAGTGCAGTCTGATGGTACACTGGAGCACAAGCATGGGCAGAGGAGATATGCCAGGCAGTAGGGCATGCAGCATGGGCCCAGGCCCACTGTCCAGCACACACGTGGGCGTAGGGCAGCCTGAGGCACTGTGAGACTTTGAAGGGACAATTGGAACCAGAGCATGGGCCCAGATTGGTGTTGGCTAAGGCAGCAGCAGCAGTAAGAGATACTGGCCATATCTCAGAGACAGGAGGGGCTAGACTGGAACCCCAGTGGGACATGTCTCCTCATCAGTACCCAGAGCCCATTTCAGGGCATCTGCACTTTGGCCTAAACTATGGGACAGAAACTTTCCATGCTGGGGCAGTAAACTTTGGTAGCTACAAACTGTACATTTATCACAAAACTGTACTCTTATTACCAAATAAAAATGCAACAAAGACATTGCAATAAAGCATATCAAGGAATTATTAGAGCTCTTCAAAGAGTTTAGAATATTTGCTTTTGAAAACTGCTACAAGATTGCAAAATGAATATCCACAGGCTTAGAAATAAAAATTAAGATAAACTATTGTCATATTCAATGAAAAAGAATACTATCTTCCTATGAAGCTTCAGATAAACCAATTATTAATGAGGAAGACATTTTAAAATTAACTTTCTTTTGTGATAGAAGATACAAGGATATAGCATTAATGTATAAATGGGTATTTTAAATTATAGACAAACCATAAAGACATTTTGTTTCCTGTACAACTTCCACAAATTACAGAAAATGTCAGAGGAAACATTAAAATACCATTGTTTACATTTACATTTGAAATTATACAACTTATGTGAAATTAAGTTGTATGACAAGTTAAATATTTTTAGAAAAATTGTTTCTTAAGAAGCATCAGTTCTAGATGTACTAAAATTTGTATTTTGAAATAACTTATCATAAATTTAATGTTGTCACAATCTAAAAAATAATCTTAATATTTCCAGGAATAATCACATCTGTAGAATGATCCTTCTCAAAATTTAAAATTACCAAAAATTATCTTTGTGCACTTGCCAAGAGCAACTGACATTGCTTTTAATTATATTAATTGAAAATTAATTGTTTTTAAAGTGGCTAAAGCTATACATTTTAATGACCTGACAAACATATTTTTGGAAAAGTGATCCAGAAAAATATTATGATCAATCAAAATACCACCTTAATAATACTTAATAAAGTATTATTGCTTATTGTATTATATAAAATTATGATACCATAAATAGGTTTGGGGAGCAATTTATAGGTTTATAATGTTAGTCATGAATTATTATTACATCATTTCATTTGATAAGTAATATGATACCTTAAAAAAGCAATCTTTATATTTTAGTACCTTTAATGACACTTTTTTCTTGCTTTTTGAACAAAGGCCCACCCCATCTGCATTTTGCACTTAGTCCTACAAGTTATACAGCTGGCCCTGTCTTGGGTACTGAATTCACCAAAGATAATTCTATGGTATGGTGTGATGTGGTATGGTATGGAAATGTGCCCAAATACCTTGTGAATGTCAGGGAATACGGAAACCCAGCAGGGAGGCTAGGCAAAGGAATAGCAGGTCCCTCGAAGCAGGAGGGCTTGGGCCCTGGGAAATGGGAGCCTGTACTTGAGCAGTCATCTGTGTCTTCAGGCAGAGCAGAAGGCAGTTAAGGTAAGGAGAGGAGAGAAGCGTCTTTGTGGAATCCCGGGTCACCACTTTTGATGGGTTGGGTTTCCTCTCAGCAAGGGTCAAGTGAAAATGCCCCCAGATAGGATTAATTATCTGTGCTCAGCCACAAAGGAATTACCTCAAGGATGGGTGGGAGGAATCAATCAGGAAGTTTAACTTTTAATTTTATTAGGGCTTGTCTCAGTCTGTTTGTGTTGTTATAAAGGAATACCCAAGGTTGGACTGTCTCTCTTTCTCTCTCTTCTGGCACTGGTGCAGAAAAACCATTAAGTTAAGCAAGGAAAAGTTCTTAGTGATCTTTAGAGTCCTCTATCCTTGGCCAGGGTTGAGGATAGGGGTACAGAGTTCAGCAGCTCATAAATGGGCCAATGTAGTATAGCAGGACACTCTGGTCTGGGATCCCTGGATTCTGGGGGTATTTGATAAGACACTGAGGCCTTGCCCAGGCCTCATTGTTCCCAATCTTTATTTTCTTGATGTAAACTCCCTGGGACATTTGGGGGGTTCCTGTGGAGATACTCTGTTTGGAAATACTGAGAACAGTCCTGTAAATATTCATCACTTAGAACTGGAGTGTTGTGAGGCAGGACCCAAGAATGACCACATTTGCTTGTTACTGACATCAGGACCCCTCTGAGGGGTCTTCAGTTGGTTTGGGGGAGTGATAAGAAAAAGAAGATAGTAAGAAGATTTGAGAGGGCATGGAGCATGAAGAAAGAAGATGAGACTCCTGGCATTTCATCTATGGTGGGATAGGATCAGGTCAGGGAGGGAGACTGGTGGCTGGGGATTGAATGCGGCTCCTGAGGAATCCAACCAAGAACAACAAGTCCCCAGGGTAATGACAAAGCCCCCTTTGGACCCCATGCATAGTGCACCCCTATGCTTTCTTTGCTACCTTCTGCGCTTCACCCACACCCTACTCTAGCACCTCTATGGTAGCAGGTCTCCCAGTCCAGGGCTGTTTATACCTGGCACCAGGCCCATGAGGTTCATTTTCAAACATGGAGATATTTACACAGAGCAAGAGGAAAAACACATATCGGGTTTCACCCTGAAATCCTGGTGCCTGACCCAGGTCTCTGTCCTCTGCCTCTACCCTAGACATAGACACACACACACACACACACACACACACACACACACACACGCACATTCATGTATACCACACCTGTATGCACATGCACATGCACCCACACAACACATACACACTGATATGGTTTGGCTGTGTCCCCACCCAAATCTCATCTTGAATTCCCAGGTAATTGAATCATGGGGGCAGGTCTTTCCTGTGCTGTTCTCATGATAGTGAATGAATCTCTCAAGATCTGATGGTTTTAAAAAGGGGGGTTTCCCAGCACAAGCTCTCTTCTCTTGTCGGCCTCCATGTGAGACGTGCCTTTCACCTTCCGCCATGATTGTGAGGCCTCGCTAGAGATGTGGCACTGTAAGTTAATTAAACCTCTTTTGTAAATCGCCCAGTCTTGGGTATGTCTTTATCAGCAGTGTGAAAACGAACTAATACACACACAGAACCAGGAACTCTTTCCCCTTATCCCATGAGAACTCAGGCCAGGAACCACTGTCCTGGGGGAAATGAAGCCGGGCAAACTAGAAATCACCCTTCCTTCTAACTAGCTTTATATCCAGAGAGTTTTGAAATAACCAACAATATGAGGGAAAATAGTAGCAGGTGATAATTTTTCTCTGCTTCCCAAAGTGTAGATTGCCTGTGTTTCTTCTAATAGCTAGTCATGCGCCACTTAACAATGGGAATACATTCTGAGAAATACATCGATAGGAAATTTGATTGTTGTGTGAAACTCATATAGTGTGCTTACACAAACCTAGATGATACAGCTGCTACACACCTACGCTATATGGTACAGCCTATTGCTCCTAGGCTGCAGTGCATGCCACCACACCTGGCTAATTTTTGTATTTTAGTAGAGACAGAGTTTCACCATGTTGGCCAGGCTGGTCTTGAACTCCTGACTCAAGTGATTTTTCTGCCTTGGCATCCCAAAGTGCTGGGATTACAGGCATGAGCCACCACGCCTGGCCAATTACTGTGATTTTTATCAGAGTTAAAAACAAACAGTTTTGCCCCAGGATTCAGAGAATATTTGGAATTTTATCCCTGGGTTATCTTATCATTATTTTTCTCCTTCCCTCTGTCCTGTGACAGCTCAGAAATCTCTAAATGCTTTTAATATTGTGGTTCCAGGTAGACAATGTCATGCTAAGTATTCAGCCTCGGGACTAGGTAACCTCTGTCTTCTCCCAGGCTTGTTAAGGGCCAAGAGATGGACAGAGAGTGAGAAAGATATCTTGGTAAAGCAGACTCAGGGACATTGGTCCAGCTATTTGCTTCCATTTTCCCTCTAGTGGGCTGAACTGGTCTTCAACAGCTAGTCACAGTCACTTCTTCCATACTTGTCCAGCGTGGGACCCCTGGCTGGGGTCCTTAAGATCATAGGGTCACAGATGAGAAACAGCATATTGGAATAAAGTCAGCAGACCTGCAGCAGTGTGCAATGCCTCCCACAGGGAATAAGGATTTTGCCCCTAGGTTGGGGATGTTGGTACCAATGTTTGGAACCCGAATTGCCCCAAAACCACTTACAGTATGCCCTTGGATCCTAACATTGTGACTGGAGGAGATGATCTGGCAAAAGGCCAGAGTGTTCTGTGGAGCTGGACTGAAGTCATGAACTTCATGCCAGACTCCATTTGGGTAACCATATTACACAACTCCATTAGGGTTACTGTTCACATGCCCAAATTCAGCAAATTTGCTCAATTATTGTATTCTTAAAATTTCTAGACATTTTATTTGTTTATCTGTCACATTTGGGAGGTAATTGTTGTAGTTTGCTGTTCCCTGTAGATATTTTCAAAGTTGTCTTTCATTTACTTAAATAAAATAAAAAGATCATTTTGGCTGGGCTTGGTGGCTCACACCTGTAATCCCAGAACTTTGGGAGGCCTAGGTGGGCAGATCGCTTGAACCCAGGAGTTTGAGACCAGCCTGGGCAACATGGTGAAACTCTGTCTCTACAAAAAAATACAAAAATTAGCTGGGTATGGTGGTGTGCGCCTGTGGTCCTAGCTACTTGGGAGGCTGAGGTGGGAGGATCATCTAAGCCTGGGAGTTTTAGGCTGCGGTGAGGTGAGATTGTGCCACTGCACTCCAGCCTGGGCAATAGAGTGAGATCCTGTCTCTGAAAAAATAAATAAAAAAGATTGTTTTATAATCAGTGTCTGATAAATTGCAGTGTCTGAAATCTCTCTCTCTCTTTCTCTCGCCTTCTTCCCTCCCTCTCCCTCTTGTGGATGTCTGATCTTATTTATTTGCTACTCTTAGAAAATCTTATTTTTGACTGGACTCAGAGGTAGAAGCTTTCAGAGAAAATAGCCTCGGTCTGTTGGCAATCTCTTTCTAGTGTTTTTCTTTGACCTCCTTCATTTCCTTGGCCAAAAGTTTAGCATATTCTACAGCTTCTTCCATGTATGTATATATATACATATATATATATTTTAGCATGCTCTTTCCTTGAAGCAATATGCTGATGTTTGAGTTGCCAGACATGTGGAGTAACACAATGGGGAACCTTGGGTGCTTTGGTCCTGGGTTTCTTACTTTCTTTATTGAGGAGTTTTCTCACAATGTGCAGGAGAACATCATGTTCCTTAGAGAGGTTGAAACATTTGTAAATTCTCTTAGCTCCTGTGGACCCCAGGTGATGAGGCACAGTTGTATTAGTCAGTCCAGAAATATACTTCCCTTCTTCTTTTCTTACTTTCTTTATTTCTTTTTTTTTTTTAAATCACTAACTTGAGAACATGCAGATTGGCATCCACAATGCAACCCCAAACAGATTTGTGCTTTCTTTATCTAGTTATTGGTCTATTACAGAAATGCTCTTTCTCAACAGCAGGCAGACGTGACCATGGATAGGGACACCTGTTTTACGGGAAACCTTGTTTGTTGTCTCCACCACTGATTCAGACCACATAACACTTCCACTATTCATTGAGAGTATCAGCATCCACATCTGTAGCCACATGCTTCTCAAAAAAGTTACCAAGAAATATTTAAATAAAAATGTTATCGCCTTAACATGCTTTAAATTCAAAAGGATAAAATTACTAAACTTGCTTGAAAGATATTAAAGAAGACCCTAAATACAGGGAGAGATGTACCATGTTCATGAATTGGAAGAGTTGGTATTGCAAAACTGTCAATTCTCCCAAAATGTATGTAAACATTTAAAGCAATCGTGATCAAATTCCCAAGGAGGACTAGATCTTCACACTCTACCTCAGTCTTACCTACTTTCCATTCTTCTTTTGCCTTCTCTCCAATGTGCTTTCCAAATGAGGGGTCTTAAATAATTTTAAAAGGCTGCATCTCTCACCAGCAGGATTCATCTCTTCATTATCTCTCACATCTGTTTCCTTGTTGCCTTCCCCATGGTCACTACGACTACTTCTTGTCCTTGGCCCAGATGAACTGATTTTTGGCACCTGGGAGGTTCTCTGAGTGATGGAGCCATTGCTTTTGGCTTAGAAATGTTTGTCTTTCCCAACCTGGGCAACAAAGTGAGGCCCTATCTCTACATGAAATAAAAATAAAAATTAGCTTGTCATGGTGGTGCATGCCTGTAGTCCCAGCTACTTGGGAGCTGAGGTGGGAGGATTGCTTGAGCCTGAGAGCTTGAGGCTGCAGTGAACCATGATTGTGCCACTGTGCTCCGGCCTGGGAGACAGAGTAAGAACCTTCTTTAAAAAAAAAGAAAGAAAGAAAGAAAGAAAGAAATGTTTGTCTTTAAGGTTAGAAGGAAAGAAAGGATCCAAGCAGCACACACTTGTGGGAAATGGGGCAGAAGTAAGACAAAGACAAGAGGTGAGGGGGGAAAGAAACATACAGATGCATTTGGTGTTGAAGTCCTTCTGCTCCTCCACCCTGGAGTAGTAACTTACATTCACTGATTTCCAGGAAGGATGAGGAGCCAACTGAGGTAGAATAAACAAAAAACCCCACCACTATGTGGGAGACTGCTTGCAAAGATGGCTGCAAAATGTCACTCTATCCCTGTGTGAGCTTCCTCTGAAATGTAACTTTGCTGTCAACCCATCAAGAGGTGGACTTTATTTCCTTTGAATCTGGGCTGTTCATGGGACTTGCCTTAGCCAGTTAGAAAGCAGAAGTAGCACCGTGTGACTTCTGACTCTAGGCCCCCCAGAGGCCTTACAGCTCCCACCTCTGTCCTCTAGGAAAGCTGCAGTCACCATATGGAAGATGAGAGACACAAGGAGATAAAAAGACTTGACTGACAGTTGACACCAACTCTCAGACATGTAAGGGAGGCCACCTGGACCCTCAGGCCCTCATCAAACCATCAGACGATTCCTGGAACCACATGAGTCACCCGAGAGAAACCACCCAGCTAAGCTGACCCACAGGGTCATGAACAAATAAAGTGGTTGTTGTGTTAAGCCAACTAACTTTATAGCCATTTGTTTCCTGGTAATAGATAGATAACTGATACAAAGTCTATCCTCAATTGGCATTCACTGGGGCCAGGAAAAAAAGGAACAGACAGAGCGAGTTAGCAGGGTTCTGGATCAGGTGCCTGATGGGATGCTGGCTCTGAAGATGTCATGCAGCTAGCACTTCAAACCCACTTCAAGGAAGGAAAGCAATTGTGTGGGGATGGAGAACCTCTATTGCTCTGTGACACAATGGGTCCCAGTGAGGCTTGGCAGTGCTCTCCTGACTGGGCACAGCAGAGTGAAGGAGGGACTCCTTTCCAGCCTGAGGTAGTGCTTATAATCCTGAGAGGGCCAGAGCATCAGTGTCCAGAACCTCTCAGCAAAGGGCACAGTGTACAGGGATGGGAGGAATTTGTGTGGCCACCTTTTGCCATAAAGCTGTCACCATGTCCCCATTCAGGTGGCCCTTTAGAGGCAGGCAGATGTGACATGTGCAGTGTGTATGGCCCTCCAGCTATGGGAGTCATGATTGGGACTGATTTGCGGCTATGTGTGGACTTTATTTGGTGGTTCCAGAAATGTGTGGGAAACATCAGCTTTCATGGACCCAAGCAAGACGGGGCTTGTGTGTGAATGGACTTTGCACTCCTGACACTGAATCCAGTGGCAGGGGGTGGGCAGGAGGAGACAGAGGATGCTCGGGTGGCAGGTACTAACTGGCCATGTATGAGACCACACATCCGGAACTTCATGCCGTCCTCATATCGACGTTATGAGATAGGCATTATTATGACTCCAGTTCAGATGAGGAAACTGGTTTAGACAGGCTGTGTAATGTGCCCAAGGCCACCCAGCTCATTCGTCTGGAGGTGAAACTCCAATCTGGCTCGAACCACTATTACATACTGTCTTCCGAGGAGTGGGTTGTTTTCCTTTTTCATTTCTAAGAATGTTTGCCTCAATTAGGCAGTGTTGTTCACTGTAGTAGTCTGTCCTCACACTGCTGTAAAGAAATACCTGAGACTGGGTAGTTTATAAAGAAAAGAGGTTTAATTGGCTCACACAGGCTGTACAGGAAGCATGGCTGGGGAGGCCTCAGGAAACTTACAATCATGGCAGAAGGTGAAGGGGAAGCAGGCATGTCTTACATAACAGGGACAGGAGGAAAAGGGCAAAGGGGGAGGTGCTGCACATTTTTAAACAACTAGATCTCGTGAGAGCTCACTCACTATCATGCAAACAGCAAGGGAGAAATCTGCCCGGTGATCCAGTCACCTCCCACCAGGCCCCCTCCTCCAGCATTGGGGATTACAACTGGACATGAGATTTGGGCGGGGACACAAATCCAAACCATATCACTCACCAAGTAGTCCTCAAGGTCACTCTGACAGAAGGACTGCGGCTGAATTTCACATTTTAGGAGGTTGGGTGGAGTTCCAGTGGTGACCACGAGGTGGTGTGGTCACCAGAAGATGCAGCGGCGTCATGTCTGCATTGTGGGATAGGGGACTGCCTTGTCCCTGTTCTCGGAAGGCCTTTCTTCTCTGCAACTTGACAAAGGCAAAGAAAAGCATCCCAGACAATGCATACCAC
Source organism: Homo sapiens (assembly GCF_000001405.40). Classification (NCBI taxonomy): domain Eukaryota; kingdom Metazoa; phylum Chordata; class Mammalia; order Primates; family Hominidae; genus Homo; species Homo sapiens. The sequence continues at coordinate 48,289,698 of NC_000010.11, read as the reverse complement.
CCCATCTCTCATTATGGCCTGCTCCCCATGTTTGGCAGAGTCCTTTAACCCAGGGGAAGAAATCATATTGACAGAGAGGTCATGACCCAAGAGAATACAAAGGATTTCTAGACTTCTGCAAAGAAATGCTTTATTGGATAAGAATTTTTTTCTTTACAGGAAGTGGCCCATTGAAGTACAGACAGAGGGGCGGTGTTCAGACCATTCCAGTGCGGAGCTGCTGAAACATGGGCCTCCTTGGCCGTTCTTCCTCCCATACTCTGTAGAGTGTACCTGACACACAGCTGATTTCAGTAAATGTTTGGATAAGTGATAACATAGACTATAATGAAAACATCAATAGTGATAACAATGAACTCATATTGAACATGTAAAATATGCCATGGATGGCCATGTATTTGTTCATTTAATTCTCACAATCATTCCATGTTAACAAACAGGTTAAGTCACTTGCCCAGGGTCCCGTGAGTAGTGGGAGAGATGAATGACTGATTGAACGATGGGGATAAATGGCATTGTTGTTGTGTGCTTTCAGGTCCAGCCTCAGTTTGTGTAACAGAAGAGTTAGGGAGAAGGGAGGCCACCGCAGGAGCCGAGAGACATGGGGAGGCAGAGTTTCTCTGACAGGTGGGCAGGCGGAGGGTGGGAAGGAGCAAGGAGGGTGGGCAGGGTGGCTATGCGTGTGGCACTGCAGCAGGGCGAGGGGGCAGGGCACCGTGTTCTCACCTCATGACCCAACAGGAGCCCAGGCAGCACCGAGTGCATGTGAGACAAACCCATTGTGGGCCATTTATGGATTAAAGCCATCTTGTTGGTTAGGGCAAATACTTGAGTGAGAAATCACGGGAAGATCGCCAGCCTCAGCTGCTTTGCAACTGGACACATCCAGAGGCTCTCCTGCCCCCTGTGATGTGGAAGGAGCCAGGACAAAGGATGTGCCCTCCTTAAGGCCCCTTCTTCAATGGTAGATAAATCACCCAAGAATGGGCCCCTTTCCCAAACTTTGCACTTCCTTTTTCAGCTGGGTGCCGGAGAGATCATTCGTTTCTTCCTAGAACTTTGTCAGCAACTGGAATGTGTTGCCACGAGAAGAAAGGCCGTAGGTGCTCAGTGTCTACAAGCTTTGCCTTGGGCGACCTTGCCCTGTGTCTGACTCCTCCTGCTCTTCTTCCTGCAGGCTCCATGTGTGCCTCTGTCTCCACGGCCTGTCTCAGTGGATCAGTGATTCTGGCCCCAACTCACTGCTGCTTTTTCTCTGAGCGCCAGATTTGTCTCTTCCTCCACCTGGGCCAGAGCTGTTCATAAGCTCATTGTACCTGCAAAGGCAGCCACCTGAGCCAACGTGGCAGGGGCAGGTGTCTGTACCCACAGCGTCTGAGCCGGAGGTGGGCAGTCCTCCTCCCACCAGGAGAACCTCCCTCAGCCTCCTCCTTGTGGCTTCCAGGCCTGGCCCACGGACCTGGCCGTGGGAATCTTAGTAAAGTGTGTGCTTTCCTTTTCAGTTGCAGTTCTTAGAAAAACAGTGCCCAGATGTTATCTAAGCAGGTAGTAGAAATACCAACCAAGGTCAAGTCATCTCAAACCACACACGTTTGTCAGCTGCCCTTGTACTTGACAGGCGAGCTCTGCAGAAGTTGAACTGTAGCCCTACAGCCCTGGGGCTGTTAAGTAAAGCCCAGGTCCCAGGTCCCGCCCCTGCTGTTTCTGGCTGGTCTGCCAGTCTCAGTTGGCTCTGTCTTCTTCCCCAGCTCCCTGGACTCCCTGTCCTTTCTGGTCACATACGATCCAGTTCAGCCCAGGCCTGTCCTGCCAAGCACTGTCTGGCTGGGGTCCAGCCCCTTCACTGGTGTTTAGCAGGATCCTCCTTCCTTTGTACACAAAGCCTCCTTTCTGCTCAGCCTTTTTCAATAACTACCCAGGCACCATCTGCCCCAGATTTGAAACCTGGGAGCGGGTCTGCTCAGACTTAACTCTTGAAAAATCCTTGCCCTCCCCCACCAACAGAACAGATACAAGGCACTGAGCCAGCCTCTGGCATTTGTACCTCCCTCATTCCAGGTCCCAGTCACCCCTGTCCCCACCTCCCTGGGTCTTCCTGATTCTCTGATCCTCTGCACAGCCCCAGCTGTGGGGCTCACTGGCTGCTTACCATCTCCACTGTTCCTCTCCGCCTGGTCACCATCTCCGTCCTCCCCGTGTTCATGCCAATCCATTTCCACTTCTGTCTGAGCTTCATCCTACTCATCAGCAGGTGACTCTGAGGGTGACTTACTGAAAAGACTGGGGCCATCTGACATGAGATTGTCCACATTCTCCCCTTGGACCTGAACATTTTCCACACTTTCTCCCTCCCTCTCACTTCAAAGAAAGAACTACCCTCTACCTCTCCAAGGCTTTCACTAGCATTGGTTCTTCTAGGGGAAGAAACAGACTGTTTGGGGTTCAAATCCTAACTTTACCATCTTTTACAGCTATGGGTCCTTGGGAAAATTATTTGACTTCCCTGTACCTCAATTTCTTAATCTGTAAAATCAGGATAATACTCCCTGCTTCCCAGTGTGTGTGTGTGTGTGTGTGTGTGTGTGTGTGTGTGTGTGTGTGTGTGTGTGTATGTGTGTTTGGATTCATGTACTGCATGCAAAAACCTTGACACTTAGTGGGCCTGAGTTACAGCACATTATTTCTGGTCCTGCTCCCTCTGACACCTCTCCTCTGTAAAGGCACAAATATTCTACCATCCAATCAGCATGCATTTATCAAGCATCTGCTCTGAGTCAGGCCCTGTTCTAGGTGCAGGGGGTACAGAATTGAGACAATCATTCCGGATTTGTCACCTAATAGCCACACACCCTTTTCCTCCTTGATCTCAGGGTCTCATTTTGTGAACCCATCAGGGAGTGCGTGCTCTAGGAAGCTGAGTTCGTCCTCCCGTCCAGGGAGAAATCATGACTGATCAGAGCCAACTGTGCTCATCCTCTTCTACTTGGGTTTAGGGGTGGGCCCTTGATCTTGTCTGGCCAGGGATATAAAAGGGGAAGCTGACTAGGGATTCTGGAAGATTCTAAACAGATGTGAAGATCAAAGTCCTTTCTCTTCCTTCTGACATGGTTGAGTTGGATGTGAAGGCTGGAGCTGCAGCAGCCATTCTTTGGTGTGAGAAGAACAAATGTCAACCCCAGGCTCTGATGTTGCTGAGCTGCTGAATGTGCATTTATGTGGGGACACAGATATCCTTGATTGTCTAAATCACTTTTCATTGCTTCATCTGTCACATGCAGCTGAAAACATCCTGCCACAAGCAGGAAGCAAGATGGATATGGTCCCAGCCATCGGTTAGCTAATATTTGTCAGTAGGGAGATAGAAAATAAATGAGAAATAAATACATAGTATTAAAGTAAAAACCAGTAATTGCTATAAAGGGGACTAATAGAGGCAAGGGGACCCAGCCTGATGAAGGAACACAGACTTTCTAAAGAGGCAGCGTTCGGACAGAGGCCTGAATGAAGTGACATCATAGCAGATGAAGATCTCCAGGCAGGGGAAACAGCACATGCAAAGCCCTGGAACAAACTGGGACCTTGGAAGAATACCAGTGTGACTGGAGCAGGGGACACCAAGGAGGGAGGGACTAGATCTAACCAGGGTTAGATCACAGGCGATCAGTGGGCACCCACAGATAGGTCCTGAACAAGGGGATTGCACGATCTGCCTTTGGTTTTCGAAGGACAGCTTGACTGCTGAGTGGGGAATAGGCTGGGTCATCAATCATTAGAGCAGGACTAGCCAGGAAACTCCCTCAGTGGTTCAGGCGGGGGAATGATAGTCCCAGGGGAGGGTGAAGAGGGATGGTGAGGAGCGTCAGATGTTTTAAGCAAAACCTGCCAATTGATGTGATGTAAGGACCCAGGGGAGTCAAGGGTGGCTGTTTTTTTTGTTTTGTTTTGTTTTTTGGCATGGGAAATTAGGTTTATGGTAAGAACATTTATTGAGATAATTAAATTGAGGAGGGAGCAAGGGTTTCTTTTTGGTGGGAGAGACGATTTGAAAATCAACAATTCTCTTTCAGATATGCTTAAATTTAAGTTTCCTATTAGACCTCAGGAAGTGAAGACATGTGGGCAGTTGGTCAAAAGAATCCAGAGTTTAAATTGGAGAGACAGGTGCTCTTTGTAAATCTGAATTTGGGATTATTGCCTATGATGGTAACTAAAACCATGGGACTTGCTGAATGTCGGGGAGGAGTGGGGATAGAAAGGGAAGAGAAGAGGCTGAGGAAGAAACTCCCAGGAATCCCATGTTTAGAGGGCAGTGCGGGAGGAAGCAGGTGAGAAGACAGAGTGGCCAGCGGGGTATAAAGACAGGAGCGTTCGTTCTAGAAGCCAAAGAAATAAAGCGTTGTGAGGAAACAGGGCTGATCCAATGCTGCTAGCAGGTCAGGGAAAATGAGAATTGAGACTGACTCTTGGATTTAGCATCCTAGACAGAGTCCTTTCAGTGCTTTTGGGGGCAGGAGGAGCCTAATTTGAGAAGAACCAGGAGAGAGGTGATAAGGGAACACAGATAAGGGAACAGATAAGGGAACAGATAAGGGAACACAGGGAGGTACGTGGGTTTAATGTGGGAGCACAAAGGAGTTCTCCTCTGACAGCTTCTCCTTCCTCAGTGAGGCATGAGGTTACCGCTCAGCATCGGGCAAGGAGAAGGCATGGCTGCAGCCTGGGAGAACTGAAGAGACATGCAGAGGGACAGCTAGGAGGTGCGAGGGCCACCAGTGGGCTGCAGCCATGAGTGGGGAGCAAGATGAGGCAGCACAGCAGGGGTTTGTGACATTCTTCAACATGGCTCAGCTGCTTGGACACAAACAGGAGGAGGGGAAACCTGAATTTAACTAGAATTTGGTCCCCCTGCCCCAGTTAAGTGTGAGAGAAGCAGTGGGGTTGAGAGCAGATGCAGTGGTGGCAGATATATAGCGTTCACTGTGGCAGGCAGGGTCTCATTGTTCTACAGTACTTGCTTACCAGACCTGTGGGTCTCAAACGGATCTAGGAGTAGGTTCCATTATCATCTCCATTTTACGGGTGAGGAAACAGAGGCACAGAGGAGAAATAACTTGCTCAGATAGCACAGCCAGTATGTTGTGGAGCCAGAATATGACCCAGGTGGTCTTGGTTGGACAATCCCTGCTCTTAACCCTGTGCCACGTTGGTGCTTGCCCTCCTGGCTACATGCAGGGGAGTGATTTCAGTGAGGCGATATAGGAATGCAGCTGATGTAACAAAATGCAATGGCTCAGATTAAATAGATTTCCTTTTCCTTAATACCCCAGGGAAAATGTTCTAGGTGGGTGCAAGTTAGGGTCCCAGGCTTCCAAGGTCACTGTGGTTATCATCACTGCCATTCTGAATCCCCCTCCTGTGCACACATCCTATCTACTCATGTCCCATTGGCTGGAACTCTGTCACATGACTCCACCTAGCTGCAAGGGAGGCTGGGAAGTGTGGTCTGGATGTGTGCCCAGGAGGAAGGGGAAAACAGATGCTTGTGCATGCTTAGGAGGAGTTCCTGACACATGGACCATGAACTCTAAGCTGGAGAGTGAGAGAAGTACAGAACAGTGGAAAAGTGGTAGGGTTCATGGATCATGGATGGGAGGTCTTGATGAGCACAAAAAATTGTCAGGGTTGGGTAACTTGAGGGAATAAGCTGGACAAATATGAGTCAGTGGCTGGTCTGAGCCTAGGATGTTTGAGATGTAAGTTTTGCAGATAGTACAGCAAAATTTCCTTGTAATGACAAAGATTGAGTTATGAACACAGGAGTAGATGGCTGAGGTAGAGTGAGGAAGGTGGAGTGAGGAGATCAAAGATGTGTTGACGTTATAAAGAAGCAGGGCAGGATAGACCACAGGGAATCCAGAGCTGACAGCTCCAGTAAAGGAACAGGCCCTCTCTAACATTTGCAGGACCCAGGGCAAAGAATGCAAGTGGAGGCCCACGTATGTTAGGTCTAAATATTTAAAAGTTATGAGTCAAGCCATCAGGCTTTAAATAAAAATCTCTTTAGATATGTCTGTCTTCTTACCTTGGTAAATGTACCTTCATAACCTCCTGGAAGATTAAATGTGAAATGATAATTCTAACTCTTTGGAATTTATGCACTTTTAGCCCCAGGCCATGGGTCACTACTCTTCCAAGTCTTCCCCACACTCTCAGGGGCTCTAGGTCCTCACGGCCAAGCTCCAGCCACATCCACATCTAGAGGACAGATGCAGGGAGGAGGCAACCCACACAGGTCCTGAAATCTGGCGTAGTGCTGGTTGGGCAGAGCTCTTGGAGCAGAGCCCAGAGGAGGGGCACAGGGGCTAGCACATCACTGGTTTTACCATGTTTCCCACCATTCAGAAGCAGCTGGTTTAGAACAGTGGGATGGCCTTTTGAAGACTCAGTTACAACACCATCTAGGTGGCAATGCCTTGTAGGGTTGGGGAAGCATTTTCTGGGAAGCTCTATATGCTCTGAATCAGCATTCATTAAAGGTGCTCCTTCTCCCATAGCCAGGTTTCATGGGCCCAGAGTCAGGGGGTAGAAATGAGAGTGGCACCATTCATTATTACCCCTAGTGACCCACAGCAAAACTTTTACTTCCTGTTTCTGTGACCTTATGCTGTGCATGCTGTCAAGTCTTAGTTTCAGATGAAAGAATGTTTCTACTGGGAGACACAACAGTTAAGACTACCCAGTCACTGTGGGTTCTTCATGCCTCTGAATCAACAGGCAAAGATGGGAGTTACTATGCTGGTTGGGGTGACTGATCCTCACTGCCAAAGGGAAATTCAACTGCTGTTACACAATGGAGTAAGGAAGAGTCTGTCTGAAATATTGGAGATCTCTTAGGGCATCTCTTAGTATTACCATGCCCTGTGATTAAGGTCAGTGGAAAACTACAACAACCCAGTTCAGACAGGAGCTACCAATGGCTCAGATACTTCAGGAATGAAGGTTTAGGTCACTCCACCAAGTAAAGAACCATGGTCATCTGTGATATATGCTGAAAGCAAAGGGAATACAGAATGAGTAGTGGAAGAAAATAGTTATAAACACCAGCAACGACCATGTAAACAGTTACAGAAATGAGGACTGTAATTATCATGAATATTTCCTCCTTATTTTGTTATGAATATATTTTTGTGTGTGTATATAATATTTGTTTTCTTTCCTTTCTTATTTCTTTATCTGTAACATAATATATATTGACTTTATATCATAGTATTTAAGTATTGATAATTTTACATCAAGTATTTAAGTTACAATATATCAAGAGGAGAAGTAAACATCATTCAAGGATTTACCTCTCTTATGGGGAAAGGGTTATTACTTTTTTTTGTTGTATGCAGGATAATTGTAACATGTTAGGTGAAATAATGCCCTTGTTATTTTCTTGTCTTTATTTGGAAATTAAGTGTGATACACACTTTACAGATATACTATTTGTCTTTAAATCACAGTCAAGTAGACACAGGGTAGAATTGTGATGACTAATTTTATGTGTCAATTTCATTGGGCCATGGGTTGCCCAGATACGTGGTTAAATGTTATTCTGGGTGTATGATATTTTTTGGCTGTGTTCTCACCCAAATCTCATCTCGAATTCCCACATGTTGTGGGAGGGACTCGGTGGGAGGTAACTGAATCATGGGTTCAAGTCTTTCTCATGCTGTTCTCCTGATAGTGAATAAGTCTCATGATAGCTGATGGTTTTAAAAAGAGGAGTTCCTCTGAACAAGCTCTCTATCTTTGCCTGCTGCCATCCATGTAAGATGTGACTTGCTCCTCCTTGCCTTCTGCCATGATTGCGAGGCTTCCCCAGCTACATGGAACTGTAAGTTCAATTAAACCTCTTTCTGTTGTAAATTGCCCAGTCTCGAGTATGTCTTTATCAGCAGCATGAAAATGGACTAATAGAGTAATTTGGTACCAGTAGAGTAGGGTGCTGCTGAAAAGATACCCAAAAATGTGGCATCAACTTTGGAACTGGGTAACAGGCAGAGGTTCGAATAGTTTGGAGGGCTCAGAAGAAGACAGCAAAATGTGGGAAAGTTTGGAACTTCTTAGAGACTTGTTGAATGGCTTTGACCAGAAGCCTGATATTGATATGGACAATAAGATCCAGACTGAGGTGGTCTCAGATGGAGATGAGAAACTTTTTGAGAACTGGAGCAAAGGTGACTCTTGTTATGTTTTAGCAAAGAGAATGGCGGCATTCTGCCCCTGCTCTGGTACCCCCCAAATTGGTACCCCATATGCCCCAAATTGGAGGAGATTTTTGGAACTTTGAACTTGAGAGCAATGATTTAGGGTATCTGGTGGAAGAAATTTCTAAGCAGCAAAGCATTCAAGAGGTGACTTGGGTGCTGTTAAAGGCATTCAGTTTTATAAGGGAAGCAGAGCATAAACATTCAAATAATTTGCAGTCTGACAATGTGATAGAAAAGAAAAACCCATTTTCTGAGGAGAAATTGAAGCCGGCTACAGAAATTTGCAAAAGTAACAAGGATGAAGCTGGAAACCATCATTCTCAGCAAACTAACACAGGAACAGAAAACCAAATACTGCATGTTCTCACTCATAAGTGGGAGTTGAACAATGAGAACACATAGACACAGGGAGGGGAATATCACACACCTGGGCATGTTGGAGGGTGGGGGGCAAGGGGAGTAATAGCATTAGGAGAAATACCTAATGCATGCAGGGCTTAAAACCTAGATGATGGGTTGATGAGTGCAGCAAACCACCATGACACATGTATACCTATGTAAAAAACCTGCATGTTCTGCACATGTATCCTAGAACTTAAAGTGTAAAAAATAAAAATAAAAAATTTTTTTCAAGTAACGAGGAGCTGAATGTTAATCACCAAGACAATGAGGAAAATATCTCCAGGGCATGTCAGAGACCTTTGTGACAGTCCCTCTCATCACAGGGCTGGAGGTCTAGGAGGAAAAGGTGTTTTTGTGGGCCAGGCCCAGGGTCCCCGTGCTGTGTGCAGCCTAGGGACTTGGTGCCCTGTGTCCCAGCCACTCCAGCTGTAGCTGAAAGGAGCCAGTGTCAAGCTCAGGCCATGGCTTCAGAGGGTGCAAGCCTCAAGTCTTGGCAGCTTCCACATGGTGTTGAGCCTGCGAGTGCACAAAAGTCAAGAATTGAGGTATGGGAACCTCTGCCTAGATTTCAGAAGATGCTTGGAAATGCCTGGATGCCCAGGCAGAAGTTTGCTGCAGGGGCAGGGCTCTCATGGAGAACCTCTGCTAAGGCAGTGTGGAAGGGGAATGTGGGATCGGAGTCCCCATACAGAGTTCCTACTGGGGCACTGCCTAGTTGAGCTGTGAGAAGAGGGCAACAATCCTCCAGACTCCAGGATGGTAGATCCAATGATAGCTTGCACTGTGTGCATGGAAAAGATGCAGACACTCAACACCAGCCCGTGAAGGCAGCTGGGAGGGAGGCTGTACCCTGCAAAGCCACACCTGCAAAGTCTTGGGGTGGAGCTGCCCAAGACTATGGGAACCTACCTCTTGCATCAGCGTGACCTGGATATGAGACATGGAGTCAAAGGAGATCATTTTGGAGCTTTAAGATTTGACTGCCCCACTGGATTTCAGACTTGTATGGGGCCTGTAGAACCTTTGTTTTGGCCGATTTCTCCCATTTGGAATGGCAGTATTTACACAATGCCTGTACCCCCACTGTATCTAGGAAGTAACTAACTTGTTTTTGATTTTACAGGCTCATAAGTGGAAGAGACTTGCCTTGTCTCAGATGAGACTTTGGGCTGTGGGCTTTTGGGTTAATGCTGAAATGAGTTAAGACTTTGAGGGACTGTTGGGAAGGCATGATTGGCTTTGAAATGTGAGGATGTGAGATTTTGGACGGGCCAGGTTGGGATGATATGGTTTGGCTGTGTCCCCACCCAGATCTCATCTTGAATTCCCACATATTGTCGAAGGGACCCGGTAGGAGGTAATTGAATCATGGGTGCAAGTCTTTCTCATGCTGTTCTCATGATAGTGACTAAGTCTCATGAGATCTGATGGTTTTAAAAAAAGGAATTCCCCTGCACAAGCTCTCTGTCTTTGCTTGCTGCTATTTATGTAAGATGTGACTTGCTCCTCTTTGCCTTCCACCATGATTGTGAGGCTTCCCCAGCCACATGGAACTGTAAGTCCAAGTAAACCTTTCTTTTGTAAATTGCCCAGTCTCAGGTATGTCTTTATCAGCAGCATGAAAATGGATGAATACAGTGTACCTGTAAGGTTGTTTCCCAGTGAGATTAGCCTGTGAGTTGGTGGACTAAGTAAAGGAGACTCCTCTCCCTAATGTAGGTGGGCATCACCCAGTCTGTTGAAGGCTTGAACAGAACACAAAAGCAGAGGAAGTGAGAATTTGCTCTCTCTCTCTCTGGCTGACTGCACTGGGCCATTGGTCTTCTGCTCTTTGACTGGGACTTACCATGTTTCTCAGGCCTTTAGACTCAGAGTGAAACTATCTCATCTGCTTTCCTGGGTCTCCAGCTTGCAGATGGCAGATTGTGAGGTTCTCAGCCACCATAATCACATGAGACAATTCCTTATAAATAAATATCCAATTGGTTCTGTTTCTCTGGAAAACAAAAGGGCACAACTGGCAATCGGATTTATTATTGAATTTCACTTGATTATATACCTCACTTTCCAGAACTCTCTATAAATAGGAGTAAACACAGTTTTTGAAAGTGAAGCAATTAAATTAAAAAATATATAAACTCAAAGATTTCGATCAGCCTAAAACCTCCTTCAGCTGATAAACAACTTCAGCAAAGTTTCAGGATACAAAATCAATGTACAAAAAAATCACTAGCATTCCTATATGCCAACAACAGCCACGCCGAGAGTCAAATCAGAAAGGCAATCCCATTCACAATTGCCATAAAAAGAATAAAATACCTAGGAATACAGCTAACCAGGGAGGTGAAGGATTGCTACAATGAGAATTACAAAACACTACTCAGAGAAATCAGACAAGACACTAACAAATGGAAAAACATCCCATGCTCATGGATAGGAAGAATCAAAGTCATTAAAATGGCCTTACTGCCCAAAGCTATTTACAGATTCAAAGCTATTTCCATCAAACTACCAACAATATTCTTCACAGAACTAGAAGAAAACTATCTTAAAATTCATATGGAACCAAAAAACAGCCTGAGTAGCCAAGGCAATCTGAAGCAAAAAGAACAGAGCTGGAGACATTGAGTTACCCAACTTCAAACTATACTACAGGGCTACAGTAACCTAAACAGCATGATGCTGGTACAAAAACAGGAACATAGACCAATGGAACAGAATGGAAAGCCCAGAAATAAGGCTGTACACTTACAACCATGTGAATCTTCAACAAAGCTGACAAAAACAAGCAATGAGGAAAAGACTCCCTGTTCAATAAATGGTGCTGAGATAACTGGCTAGCCACATGCAGAATATTAAAACTGGACCCCTTCCTTACACCATATACAAAATTAACTCAAGATGGATTAAGGACTTAATGTAAAACCAGAAACTATAAAAACACTGGCAGACAACCTAGGCAATCAATACCATTCAGGACATAGGAACTGGCAAAGATTTCATGACAAAGACACCAAAAGCAATCACAACAAAAGGAAAAATTGACAGTGCGATCTAATTAAACTTAAGAACTTCTGCACAGCAAAAGAAATTATCAACAGAGTAAACAGACAACCTACAGAATGGGAGAAAATATTTGCAAAATATGCATCTGACAAAAGTCTAATATCCAGCATCTATAAGGAACTTAAACAAATTTACGAGAGAAAAACAAACGACCCTATTAAAAAGTGGGCAAAGGACATGAACAGAAACTTCTTAAAAGAAGACATACATGCGGCCAACAAGTGTATGAAAAAAGCTCAACACCATTGATAATGAGAGAAATGCAAATCAAATCCACAATGAGATACCATCTCACACCAGTCAGAATGGCTATTAATAAAATATGTATAAAGAAACAGATGTTGGCAAGGTTGCAAATAACAGGGAACACTTATACACTGTTGGTGGGAATGTAAATTCATTCAACCATTGTGGAAGACAGTGTGGCAATTTCTCAAAGACCTAGAGACAGAAATACCATTTTACCCAGCAATCCCATTACTGGGTATATACCCAAAGGAATATAAATTGTTCTATTATAAAGACACATGGACATTTATGTTCATGGCAGCACTATTCACAATAGCAAAGACATGGCATCAATGTAAATGCCCATCAATGACAAATTGGATAAAGAAAATGTGGTATACATACTCCATGGAATACTATGCAGCCATAAAAAAGAATGAGATCATGTTTTTCATGGGAACATGGATGGAGCTGGAGGCTATTATTCTTAGCAAACTAATTCATGTACAGAAAATGAAATACAGTATGTTCTCACTTATAAGTGGGAGCTGGATCGTGAGAACTATGAGCACAAAGAAGGAAACAACAGACACTGGGGTCTACCTGAGGGTTGGGGGGGTGTGAGTAGACAGAGAACCAATAACTACTGGGTACTGGGCTTAATATCTGGGTGATGAAATAATCTGTACAACAAACCCCCATGACATGAGTTTACCTCTGTAACAAAACTTCACATGTACTCTCGAACCTAAAATAAAGTTTTTTTTTTAAATGATCATACGCAATAAAGAATTTTGACAGGAAAATAACCTTAAAAAATAAAAATATATAAAATATAACAAAATTATATAGGGAATGACACAGAGATAACTCAGAGAGAAACTATTAGCTTTGATAACTTGAAAAACAAAAACACATTGATAAAATTTTTATGCAAAAAAATGGACTTAATGAAATGTTAGCAGAGCAACAATAGAAGGGGGTTACTGCTAGTATTTTTAACAGAAAAAGTGAAAGTGGTGGTGACTTTAAGCAGACCAGCATTTACCTGTTGGCAGATGACTTAGGTGTTGCTTTTTGTTCTGTTGTGAACGAGCCACATGACTGGAGAAGTCAACTTTCTTCTTCTGGGAGAAAGGTTGCGTGGTCAGCCTGAAAAAATTACTAAATAAAAATTACCTGGACACTTGCTGAAAATACAGATGCTCTGGCTCGGGCCCAGAGATTCAGGTTCAGCAGATTCAGGGTGGTGCCTGGGAATCTGCATTTTATCGTCTTCAAGGCTGAATCTGATGAGAAGACAAGTTTGGAAAAAACAGTAAAAGATTGTTGCAGATATTGTGAAATGTTTTGCTAGCTAGCAGGGAATGTCAATATAGATAGCTTTAAGCAGAAAAAAATGTAAAACATTGTGTTTTTTAGTTTTTTTCAAGTAATATAACATAAGGTTATAGGGGGAAAATACCAAAATGAACAATAATTTTCCTGACTAAATAATGAGCCAAAACTCTTTCCCCTAGCAACCACTATTAAGTTGCTTGTGATTCCTTCCAGAACCACAAGAATATGTCTACATAATATTCTAATATACTACAGTGTATAAAGAATATGTATACATAAATATACGTAAATATACCTGGTCTTTATGTACCTATTTGTAATAAAAGGAAACATACTAGGCTATTCCATACCTTTTGTCACTTAAAGAATTTTCTAGGCAATTGTTATATGCCAGCACACACAGATCTACTTCCTTCCTTTACACAGCTGCATAGCTGGTTTTCTACTGTGTGTGAACTACAATAATCACTGTTGATGGGCACTTCAGTGGCTTTCAGTTTTCTGCTACTACCAAAATACACTGCAAAGAGCATCCTTTCTCAGATGCTTTGGTGAACTTTTGCAAGAATGTCCATGGGGTTACTTCTTAGCAGCTGGGTTTACAAAGGATATGTACATTTACAAATTTGATGAATATTACCAAATTCCCTGCAGAGAAGTTGCACTTATCTGTAATCTCACTATTGGCATATGAGAGTACTCATTCTCCATGCCCTCACCAGCACTGAGTTTCATCAGATTTTTTTTTCGAGACAGAGTCTCGCTCTGTCACCCAGGCTGGAGTGCAGTGGCCCGATCTTGGCTCACTGCAAGCTCCGCCTCCCAGGTTCACGCCATTCTTCTGCCTCAGCCTCCGGAGTAGCTGGGACTACAGGCACCCGCCTCCAGGCCCAGCTAATTTTTTGTATTTTTAGTAGAGACGGGGTTTTGCCATGTTAGCCAGGATGGTCTCGATCTCCTGACCTCGTGATCTGCCCGCCTTGGCCTCCCAAAGTGCTGGGATTACAGGCATGAGCCACTGTGCCCGGCCTCAAATTTTAGTATTTTATTCTGTAGTCAGGCAAAAACTCATGTTTTCTTTTTAAATAAATACGTCTCAGTTTTGACACTGCTATTGATTTAAAGGGCTTGAGAGATCTGTTCTTTTGCCCCTTCTACTACAGAGCTATGATCTACTTCTTGCTGTTCCCCATCTCTGCTGGTTCCTTTCTGAATCCAAGCACCAGAAAGAGTAAGAATTCCTTTCCCCCTTTCTCTAACCACATTTTTCTTGCTTTCTCACAGACAGATCCAGGTTATCATTTCCTCCTGCTGCTTTCACATGGTTCCCTGTCCTGTTGGTTGCAGGTCCAATGTCTGACACTATGAAAGGGCATGGAGGACTCTTGAGTTGATGACACTAAGCCTCTGCTCTGGGGCTGCCCCCAGTTCCTTGCAGAGCTCTTTCTTTTGATTGGGCCAGGAGATAAAGAGACATCAGCGTAAAAGCCCTGCTGAGCAGCAATCCCATTGCCTTCAGTGGCACCTAATCCACTTGAGCTCTTCCTGGCTCTCTCACGGGTCACTGGCTTTGAGGACGCAGGCTGCTGGGGTGGCAGTGCCTGCTAACAGGCCAGAGACTGCGCAGGACCCAGGGAATGAGAGTGGTGGCAGGAAAGGGAAGGGGCCTTGTTGACTCACTCGCTGGGCAGCAAGTGCTTAGTGACAAGCAGTAAACAAAGACAGCGGCAACAGTGCTGGTGGCAGGGAGCTCCGCGGACAGACTTGCAAGAGACCCCTGCTCCTTGTTGGAAAGTTGTCCCATGATGAAGGCCTAGACCTGGTCACGGAGACTTTTGGATGCAGCCTTTAACGAAGGACGCAGGTATTCCTTGGCATCATTCAGTTTTCTCCTATAAATCTGGTCAGGGAAAGGGCAAACTTCTTACTGGGTCTAGGTATCCGGAATAAGAAGAACACAGCTGGGCAAGGACCTGTGTCAGTGCCCTTTGTGGTATTATTTGGAGTATTATTTGTTCCAGGCCATTGGCTAAGCCTGATAGACATTGTATTTGTTTTTTAGCAATAAAGAATGGGCTCAGAAGAGAAAACATGGACTTTAGAATCAGACCACCCCTTGTTTGAATCACTGCTTTGCTATTCAGCATCTGTGCAAATTCAAATGACTCTTTTAACTTTCCTAAGACTCGTTTTTCTTACCTGTAAAATGGGGATAATAATGCCCCATGCGTTACGATGTTGCTGAGGATTCATGGGGTGACACGCGTAAGGCACTTAGAACATACTTGGAGCATTTGAGTAGCCCAGTAAATCATGGCTGTCACTATCTTTCAGAAGCAAGTGTTTTGGTTATTGCTTAAAGAGTATCAGTGGTTTAAAGTAAGAAGACTCAGGGTATGCCTAGCTGACTTCCAGAAAACAATGGAAAAGAAATGATTCACCTGGCTTTATTTGTATGCTTAAAGGAAAGAAAAAACTCAGTTGAGGTTTTCAACAGTGTAAACAACTTTTTTTTTTTTTTAAAGCAACAATTGAGTTCAGAGATGAGTCGTGTCTATTTCTCCTGGCTAAATCCTGTGATTTGCTATAGGCTGTAGCTGAAACCAATTAAGTAGTTCATTAATTCAACGAGAACTTACTTGGTATCTCCTGGGGCCACATGCCAAATGCTGGGGATGTCTCCCCCAGCCCAGAGGATCTTCCAGGTTGTAGGACAGTGGGGGTCGGGGGGCAGAATGCTGGACCTGCATGAAAACTGGCGGTGATAGCAAGTGCCGAAATGGAGGTGGCACGGGCTCCTGGGAGAGGTGTTGCTTGAGCATGGCTTTAATGCTAAGCGAACACTAGCAGGAGTTGGGAGCAGGGGGATTGGAAAAGGCATCCCAAGCAGAGAAAAGCACATGCAAAGGCCCAGTGGCATGAATAAGTAAAGCATGCTCTGGGAACAGCAGGCAGTTTGGCCTAACTTTAGTAAAGTGGGAACAGGGGAATCTGATAAGAAAGGAGGCTGCAGAGGTGAACAGGGGAGAGCAAGGAAGGCCTTCTATGGCCCAGAGTTCACTCAGAAGGTCCCAGATAGGCACTGGTAGTTTTAATGAAGGATGTGTCGTGTCTGCATTTAATATTAAGAAGATTAATCTAGTAGCAATATGGGTGTGGGATTGGAGAGGATGAAACCTGGAATGATGACAGATGGCCTAACCTAAGAAAACAACAGTGGAATGTAGAGAAGGGGAGGTCTCCAAGCTGGTGCTGCCAGCACTGTGAGCAAAAACAAATACATATGCATCTAATAAGTTCATTATAAATTTTACTGATATGAAGGATGTATATTGCACAATTTACAAGTAATAAAATATAAAATACTCTTTATTACAAATTCTATATAGCCATTTGATTCTCACAGCATGCATTTGTTGATTTTTGCTGAACTCTTATACCCTTGGTCAGCCTGTTTGCAATTGACCACTGAATGTAGTTCCAATATGAATGTTGGTTGATATTTTTGTTTACATTGACAAGTAAGAAGAAAGTGAAACAATGAAGATGATTGTCTTAACTTCACTCATCTGTCAATGACATGAGTGACTGCTGGATCAGATCATAGTTTTTGAATTTGGAAGAGTGTTTTCCCAATTTTTGTGTTATTCACAATGTAACAACTATGGACGCGACACACTTTTAGGTTTAATCTGCATGAACATTTTCTCCATCACTTTCTTAGTTTTCTTAGGGAATGAAAAAACAGCAAACCAAGCCCTAATTTGTAGCTTTTGCCAATTTTTGTGGTATAAATACTACCACCATGGCCAATCACAAGCTCCCAATGTGATATCGCTGAACACAAAGGTGGAAGGGCTGTGCACCAGCACACCATTACACAGTATTTCCATCATAGAAATGTATTTCATTTAAATAAGTTCCAAAGCACAGACAACAGTAAAATGCAGTAAAATAATTTGGAAATGGTGAGTTTCAACATATTGTTAATATAACTTATTTAATTGGAGATTTTTATAATACTTTTTGGTAATGGCTGTGTTTAATGACCAGCTTACAAAATTTCTGGAAATTTAACAATTGGCTCTCACAGGCCAGTAGGAGCCTTCTTCAGCATATCACAGAATCCAAGAAAGGTTTAAGGAGCAGAATACAGAGTGGTGAGAAAATGACTCATGGGTGCAAATGAAGGGGGCACGAAGGAAGAATTAGGAAGAATACTTCCTTCTCTCTGGGGATGAAGCTGTCACTCACCAAAATGTTGGACTTATTAAAAAGAACACCATGAATAGATGACTATGAATTCAACTGCTCAGGAATAGCAAGGGCTGCGGTGTGCAGCCCAGGACAATGCTACCTGCAGCTCCATTAGTGAAGTCATTTCTGGTCTGAAACCCCAGTTTTGCTGGCTTGTCTCTAGCCTATTCCCTGCCCTCTCCATATACTCAGGATTCATAATATGAATAGCTAGGATTTATTGAAAAACTGCCATATGCCAGACACAATAACTCATGGTATAAACGAGTAAAGAGAGGAAGTAACTTGCCCACGGTGAGGTGGGATCAATCCAGCTCTGACCTCGGAGCCTGCTCTTCCAGCCACTATGCTTTTCTATTCTCATTCCCCTCCTGAATTGTATTCACCCTGAGATATCAGTGTTTTTAGCTGCTTTCCTGGCAGAAGTCTGCTTTCGAGGCTGATTCCTATTCCTCAGGCTTCCTTTTACTGGTCGCTGGCAGCTCTACTGTTAACTGCCCTCCCTTTTTTTTTCTTGCCTTGGCTGTAAGCCTCCTTATTCCTGTATTTGCTTGAGCTATCATAGCCCAACATTGTTGGAAATAGAGTAGGTAGTGAAGGGAGGCAGGAAGGAGATGTGTAGGATGGTGCACAGGAACCAGTTCCAGGAGGGCTGGTGCCAGGCAGGAGGCAGATCAAGGCTGAGCTGTCAGAACTCACTCTTCAATAGATTCAAGATGGGTTAAACAGTGTCTGGCTGGAGAGTAAATGTATTAGACATTTTAAAAAAGTGCCATCTAGGAATTTCTTTTGTTTCTTCTATCAGTATCATTTTTGTATGATGCCAGTCCAGAGTGCAGGCAGCATCTGAAGTATTCACTTGTTAATTTACTGAGTCATTCAGCCAGTGGGGGAAGAAGGAGCTCCAGATGCGAGTGTCCCCACAGAGCCTGCAGAAGGACAGGAGGCAAGGGGGTTGTGGTGCGTCTAAGGCTGGAAAAAGGCCATGGGGGAAAGAGGAAGCTGCTAGAGATCAGTCCAAAGCGGTGGGCCTGAGGTCCTGCAAATCTTGCTCAGGATCTGAGCTGATCCTTTGGAGAATAGAAAGTGGCTGAAAGTTTTCACGAGGTGTGACATGGTCAGATTTGTGTTTTAGGAAGAGGACTCTGCAAGACAGAGAATGGATCAGGGCAGGGGCAAGGTATGGTTGTAGGAAACCATTTTGTAGAATTTACATTTCAGTGGTCATTCAGGGGAGGGTGCTGGTGGCTTAGACCAGGTCAGTGGTGGTGGGGTTGGAGAGAAACAGGCGGATTTTAGAGAGATTTTGGAGATGGTGATTAACGGGCTGGGAAGTTGAGGGATGGGAAGGAGACAAAAATGTCGTCTGAATGTTTGGCTTGAGGGGTTAGGTGGTGGGAATGCCATTTGCTGTATTCAAATAAGAGAGGTTGAAAGAGGAGGAGGTGGGGGGAAGGTGAATTCAGCTCTCTACATCTAAGGGGGTTGTCTAAAGGACATCCTGGGATCACCAAGCAGGAGCTCAAGAAACGGGTCTGAGCTTAAGACATGGCTGTGGAGGGGATGGACTGATGGTTGGTAACTTTGGAGCATGTAGAGTGATTTGAAGAGGGAGCCAGGGCAGAGAGAAACCCAAAGACCACTGACATTTGGCATTGCCTTTATTCATTGTTACAAATAATACCATGGCAAATATCTTTGAATATACATCTTTGTCAATTATGTTCTTGGCATCAATTCCCAGAAGAGGAAGACCCTGATGGCAGGAATGGACATCCCTTGGCTTTTGATACAGATTGCCAAACTGCTTTACAAATCAGCTGTCGCAAATTGGCCACACATAAGTAAGGTCTCTGAGAGGAACAGTGTCATTGCCACCTCATGGGCACTGAGCGCTCATCATCGAAGCCCACTTGAGGGATGAAAATGGGCCTCGAGACCACGTCCACTAGCAGCTCCTTGGATTATAGGCAGGAGTGGACAGTTTTTCCATATTGTTTAATAAGGAATCACCGTTTCTTTTATGACTTTTCTTAGTCTCACTTTCTCAATTACCTACTGCTGTTGGGCCCATAAGATTTTTCTCTCTGATTCTTTGCACAGAAATAGTCACTTTCGGTTTGACCTTCATCCCTTATCCCAGCTGGCTGTATAGCTCTTTGTAGATATCACTGTGGGAAGCAACTTCCTGACTCAGGGCCTGAGGAGGGGTATGTGGTAAATAAAGCCCAGGAGAAGAGCTTGAGACCAGAGTCCTCTCCCTGAAACCACTCGGAGTGGGATTCTGGACAAGCCTTCACCCTCACACCTTGGCTGTCTCCCATTTCCCATCTGTGCTACAGCAGGTCTCCTGGGTCTGTCAAGTGTGAGTTAAGGACCCCCTCTTCACTAACCAGTATTTTTAATGGTCTGCTCTGGATGGATTAATTTGACTGAATGAAGCTGCTTCACTTCTAGAGGAAAATTTTTAAACAAAGCATTCACCCAGTGGGGTTTGTGACAGGGCAAGCCACTTCTCAACCTGCATTAGGCTGGGAACCCACGGACGGCCTGGCCCTGCCTGAGTCCCATCAGCCAGAGGTTTATCCCTCAATCATCACTGCAGGAGGAGAGAAGGCTATGCTCTCCGTGAAGGGGGAACTCTCAGGCCTGTTCAGCTTCTGCATCCCTCTGAAGGCTGCATTTCAGTGACGCTGGCCACCCTTGTACTAGGTACCACCTGCCCCACCAGCAACATCCACATGCAACACGCCTCTGTGCATCCTATTTCCTATATGCTTAGAAATGTTCCCTAGGAGGCAGAGAATTGGCATTGCTGGGACTTGGCAAATACATGTTCTCAATTTTGATAGATGGCTCTGAAAAATCTATACCAATTTAATTCCCATGTTAATGGGTGTTATGAGAGGGCCTGGTCTGCAGCCCCCACCTTGCTAACATCAAATATTTAAATTTTTGACCCTCTTGATAAATTCTCATTGCTGTTTTGTTTTCCCTGATTTACTAGAAACACAGCAAATCTTTTCAAATATTTATTGAGTAGTTGTATTTTTTCACCTGTTTATTTCTTAACTTTTAAATTAAAGAGTTGTTTTTTTCTAATTGATGAGTAAATAGTAACCCTTTTGCCATTATATATATTTTCTCCTAATCTGTTGCATATTTTTGTTTACATTTAATTTTCATATATGGTCAGATAAAAAGTTGCAAAGAAGTTGCAAAGAGCACAGAGAAGTCCCTATACTCTTCCTCCAGTGTCCCCCAGTGATTATATCTTACCTAACTACAGCACAATGGCAAACCCAGACATTTGACATTGGTACAATATGTGTGTAAAGTACTATGCCATTGTAATACTTGTGTAGATTTATGTAACCACTACCACAATCAAGATACAAAACTATTCTATCGCCACAAAGATCTCCCCCAGCTCCCATTCTACTCCCTACCACCCTGCTTCTACTATCTCTGAGATCAGTCTCACAAGCTGTGACCTTTTGAGACTGGTTTTTCTCATTCAGCCTAATGCCCTTGAGATCTAATCAAGCTGTTGCACGTATCAATAGTTTGCTCTTTATTGCTGAGTAGTATTCCATGGTATGAATATACCACAATTTGTTTAACCATTCACCAAATGAAAGACATTTTGACTTAACAGTTTTTGGCTATCACAAATAAAGCTGCTATTACAAATAAAACACACACGTTCACATGCAGCTTTGTGTGTGGATATTCATTTTTTTTCCTCTGGGATAAGTGCACAGAAGCACAATTGCTCAGTTGTATAGTAAGAGTATGTTTAGTTTTTCTCTTTTTTAAAAAGAAACTGACAAACTCTTTTCTGAAGTGGCTGTACCACTTACATTCCCACCATCAACTTAGAAGAGATCCAGTTTCTCTGTATCCTCATAAGCATTTGGTATTGTCACTTTATTTTTTTTTCCTGTCATATAGGTGGGGAGGGATATCTCATTATAGACTTCATTTGCCTTCCCCTTATGGCCAGTGATGTTGAACATCTTGTCATGTGCTTATCTGCGATGTGTGTATCTTCAGTGAAATGTCTTTCCATGCCATTTGCTCATTTTTCTAATTGGATTGTTTGCTTTCTGCTGTTAAGTTTTGAAACTTCTTTGTAGACATCCTACATGTGAGTACTCCATATTAAGCATGGCACCTAAACCTACTTTCTGCCTCTATGGATTTGTTTATTCTGGATATTTCATATAAATGGAATTACACAATGTGTAGGCTTTTACATCTGGCTTCTTTCACTTTAGCATAACGTGTTCAAGGTTCATGCATGCTGTAGAATGTATCAGTACTTGATTTCTTTTTATGGTTGAGTAATGTTCCATTGTATGGATGGACCACATTGTGTTTATCCATTCATCCCTTGATCGACACTGAGTTGTTTCCACTTTTTGGTTATAAATAATGTTGCTATGAACATTCACATATATTATTTGTAGAAATATCTATTTGAGTCCTTTGCCCATTTTGAAATTGGATTGTTGGTGTTTTTGTTAAGGAATTGTAGGAGTTCTTCATGTATTCCAGTTACTAGACCCTTATCAGATTGATGATTTGCCAATATTTAATATTTTCTGCCATTCCGTGGATTGTCTTTTCAGTTTCTTGATAATGCCCTTTGATACAGAAATGTCTTTTGATGTCTGTTGTCCGATTGGGTCATTTCTCTTGTTCTCTTCTCAATCCGTGGATTCTCTACTCAGTCTTCTCCATTCTGCTGTTGAGCCCACCCATAGTGTTTCTAATGTTGGTTATTGTATTTTTCAGTTCTAAAATTTCCATTTGGTTCTTTATATTTCTTTGTTGAGCCTTTCTATGTCTTTGTTTTTATTGTGCTTGTCATTGCTCACGAAAATCCTGGTCAGATAATTCTGACATCTGAATCATCTTGGTACTGGCTTCTGTTGTCTTTTTTACTCAAGTTGAGATTTTCCTGGTTTTTGATATGATGAGCAATAGCGACTGAATCCAAGATGTTTGGGTACTATGATATGAGACTCTGGACCTTACTTAGAGCTTCATTTTTAGCAGATGTTCCCTGATACTGTATGGACAGAAGGGCTCTGCTTCATTACTTCCGGGTAAAAATGGAAGTCTAGACCCCCCACTCAGTCTCTCTTGATAACCTTGAGGGCATCTTGTTGTGACTGTTCTGGCTCCCCTCTAGTCCTCTGCTGACACCACCCTTGCTAGGAGGGTCGGGGACACCTTATTACTGCTCCTCATGCAACACGTCAGGGGATGCCTTGTTACCACTGCATGGTGGTAAAAGTACTGACCCTCTCTTACACCTTCCCTGGCACCACCCCCGTGGGGAGGCCAAGGGGCATCTTGTTATCACCAGAGGAAAGTGGAAGTCTAGGGTGTGACGCAAGTCACCACTAGGTGGGAATGAGAGTTTCAGCTCCCACTTGGCCTTCTCTGAACTGACTGTGTGGAAGAAATGACTGTGCCTCATTGTAGCTGGATGAGTGTAATGTCTGGGCTCTCCCTAGGCCCTTGCTGACTATTTGTTGAAAAGACTATCTCAAGACTAATTGCCTTTGCTCCTTTGTCAAAGATCAGTTAAATGTATATGTATTGGTCTATTTTTTGACTCTATTTTGTCCCTTTAATCTATTCGTGTATTCTTTCACCAACATCACATTGTCTTGATTAATATACCCTATAATAACTCTTTTTTCTCTTTTTTAAATTGAAGAATGCATATTAGAAGTTTTTATTTTTTATTTTACTTTTTAAACTTTTATTTTAGGTACAGGGGTACATGTGCAGGCTTGTTATATGGGAAATCTCGTGTCACCAGGGTTTGTTGTACAGATTATATTATAAACCTGGTACTAAGCCTAGGACACAATAGTTATTTTTTGTGCTCCTCTCCCTTCTCTCAGTCTTCATCCTCAAGTAGGACCCAGTGTCTGTTGTTTCCCACTTTGTGTCCATATGTTCTCATCATTTAGCTCCCATTTATAAGTGAGAACATGCAGTATTTGATTTTCTGTTCCTGTGTTAGTTTGCTAAGGATAATGGTCTCCTGCTCCAACCATGTTCCTGAAAGGGGCATTATCTCATTCTTTTTTGTGGCTGCATAATATTCCATGGTGTATATATACTACATTTTCTTTATCCAGTCTACCATTGATGGACATTTAGATTGATCCCATGTCTTTGCCACTGTGAATACTGCTGCAATGAATATACACATGCGTATTTCTTTATGATACGACGATTTATATTTCTTTGGGTATATACCCAGTAGTGGGATTGCTGGGTCAAATGGTAGTTTTGGTTTTGGCTCTTTGAGGAATTTCTACACTGATTTCCACAATGGTTGAACTAATTTACACTCCCACCAACAATGTATTAATATTCCCTTTTCTCTGCAACCTCACCAGCATCTGTTATTTTTTCTTTTTATTAATAGCCATTCTGACCAGTGTGAGATGGTATCTCATTGTGGTTTTGATTTGCATGTCTCTAATGATCAGTGATATTGAACTTTTCTTCATATGCTTATTGGTTGCATGTATGTCTTCTTTTGAAAAGTGTCTGTTCATATCCTTTGCCCACTTTTTAATGGGGTTGTTTGTTTTTTTCTTATGAATTTCCTTAAGTTTCTTATAAATGCTGGATATTAGACCTTTGCCAGATGCATATTTTACAAATATTTTCCCCTACTCTGTAGGTTGTCTGTTTACTGTACTAATAGTTTATTTTGCTGTGCAGAAGCTCTTTAGTTTAATTAGATTCCATTTTTCAAGTTTTGCTTTTGTTGCAATTGCTTTTGACATCATCGTAATAAAATCTTTGCCAGTGCCTGTGTCCAGAATGGTATTGCCTAGGTTTTGTCTTCCAGAGTTTTTATAGTTCTGGGTCTTACATTTAAGTTTTTAATCCATTTTGAGTTTATTTTTATATAATTGTTTAAGGAAGGAGTTTTGTTTTAATCTTCTGCATATGGCTAGCCATTATCCCAGCACCATTTACTGAATAAGAAGTCCTTTCCTCATTGCTTGTTTTTGTCAGCTTTGTTGAAGATCAGATAGTTGTAGGTGTGTGGCCTTATTTCTGGGCTGTCTATTCTGTTCCATTGGTTTATGTGTCTGTTTTTGTACCAGTACCAAGCTGTTTTGGTTACTGTAGCCCAGTAGTGTAGTTTAAAGTTGGGTAGCTTGATGCTTCCTGCTTTGTTCTTTTTGTATAGGATTGCCTTGGTATAGTAACTCTTGAAGTTGGATAGTTGGATCAGTCCTACAACTTTGTTTCTCTTCGTCAGTATTGTGTTGTCTGTTCTAGGTGACTTGTTTTCCCTTTTCATTTAAACTTTAGAATTAGTTGTTGATATTCACAAAATAAATTTCTGGGATTAAATCTACAGACCGAGTTGAGAATAAATGACATTTTAACAATATTGAGTCTTCTCTCAGTGAACATAGAATACTCTTCCTTTATTTAGATTTTAAAAATATTTAAAACAAATATTTTTATTTCTTTCATCAGAATATTGTAGTTTTCCTTATAGGGATCTTATACATATTTTGTTAGGTTTATTTCTACATACTTCAAAATTTTTTGGTGTTAATATAATAATTGATATTGTGTTTATAATTTCACATTTCAGTTGTCATTGCTGATGTTAATTAAAGTCAAAACAGTTGAGTTTTGTGTATTAGCCTTTTGTCCTGCAATGTTTCTATAATCACTTATTAGTTTTAGGAGGTTTTTTGTTCATTATTTGAGATTTCATACATGGACAATCATATCATCTCGGAACAGAGATAACTTTATTTCTTTTTTTCTAATTTATATACCTTTTATTTCCTTTTCTTGTCTGATTACATTAGCTAGGACTTCCAATGGTGAGAGGGGACATCTTTGTATTTTTCCTGATCTTAGCAGGAATACATCTAGTTTCACACCCTTAGGTCATGTGTTGGCCGTAGATTTTTTTTTTTACATATTTTAAAAAGATTAAGTCGAAGAAGTTTCTTTCTATTCCTGGTTAACAGAGAGTTTTTAATCATGATTTGCTGTTGGATTTTGTTAAATGCTTTTTCTGTATTAATAAATTTGATTATATAATTTTTCTCTTTAGTCCATGAAAGTGGTGGGTTACATTAATAAATTTTCACACCAGCCTTGCATACCTGAATTAAATTTCACTTGGTCATGGTGTATGATTATATTTATACATTGTTGGATTTGATTTGCTAATATTTTGAAGAGTTTTGCATCCTTGTTCATGAAAACTATTGATCTGTAGTTTTACTTTCTTGCAAGATTTTTATCTGGTTTTGGTATTGGGACAATTATGGCCTCATAGAATGAATTAAGAAATGTTCCCTCTGCTTCTATTTTCTGGAAGAGATTGCAGATAATTAGCGTCATCTTTTCCTTAAATGTTTGGTAGACTTTAACAGTGAAATCCTTTGGGCCTGGTGCTTTATGTTTTGGAAGGCCATTAATTATTAATTCAATTTATGTAATACGTATAGGCATACTTAGATGATCTATTTCTCTTTGTATGAGTTTTGATAGATTTTCACTTTCAAGGAATTGGTCCGTTTCATCTAAGTCATTACATTTGTGGGCATATTATCCTTTTTAATATCCATGGGATCAGTAGTGATGGCCCTTATTTCATTTGTGATTTTAGTTATTTACATCTTCTCTCTTTTTTTTTCTCTCTTGGTTACTTGGCTATGGGTTTATCAGTTTTGTTGTTGTTTTCAAATAATCTGCTTTTAGTTTTGTTGATTTTCTCTATTGTTTTTCTGTTTTCAATTTTATTGATTTCTGTTCTAATTTGTTATTATTTGCTTTCTTTTATTCAGGTTCATGCTGTTATTTTTTCTGTAGTTTACTAAAGGTGGAAGGTTAGATTATTAATTTTAGATCTTTCTTCTATTCTAATATATGCATTTAATGTTAGAAGTCTCTGTATAAGTACTTCCTTCATTGCATCTCACAAATTTTGGTAACTTGTATTTTCATTTTTGTTTAGTTAAAAATATTTTTTATTTTATCTTGAGATTTCCTTTTTGACCCATTTGCTGTTTAGAAGTGTGTTGTTTAATCTCCAAATAGTTGAGGATATTCTGGCTATCCTTCTGTTATTGATTTGCAGTTTGGTTCTACTGACAGAACCAAATCTCCATGAGAGAAATCATACTTTGTATGATTTCTGTACTTTTAAACTTGTAATCTCAGCTACTTGGGAGGCTGAGGCACGAGAATTGCTTGAACCCAGGAGGTGGAGGTTACTAGTGAGCCAAGATTGCACCACTGTACTCCAGGCTGGGCAACAGGGCAAGAACCTGTCTCAAAAAATAAATACATAAATAAACATAAATAAATAAATCAATAAAGTTTATGGCCCAAAATGTGATATATCTTGGTGAGTGTTCCATGTGAAACTGCAAAGAATATGCATTCTGTTGTTGTTGGATAAAATAGCCTACAGCCATCAACTAGATCCAGTTCTTTGGCAGTGTGTCTAGTTTAACTACGTCTTTACTGATTTTCTGTCTGCTGGATCTGTTAATCCCTGATAGAGGGGTGCTGAAGTCTCCAGGTATAATAGTAGATTGTTTATTCCTCCTTGCAGTTCTACCAGTTTTTATGTCATGTATTCTGATGCTCTGTTGTTAAGTGCATATGCATCAGAGATTGTTATGTCTTCTTGGAATATTGACCTCTATCATTATGTAATACCCCTTTGTATTCCTGATAATTTTCTCTATTCTGAAGTCTGCTTTGTCTGAAGTTAAGATGGTTACTCCAGCTTTCTTTTAATTTGTGTTAGCATAGTATATCTGTCTACATCCTTTTAGTTTTCTTAAAATTAATCTTTTTATTCTTCCCTTTACTTTTAACCTATTTGTGCCTTCATATTTAAAGGGGATTTCTTCTAGACAACATAACTGGGTTTTATTTTTTAATCTACTCTGTCAGTTTCTGTCTTTTAACTGGCATACTTAGACCTTTATATTTAAAGTGATTATTGATGTTGTTAGATTAATAGCCACCATATTTATAACTGTTTTCTATTTGTTGCAATTGGTTTTTGTTTCTTTTTAAGATCTTCCCGTGTTTTTCTGCCTTCTCTAGTTGTAATTGAGCATTTTATATTATTTTGGCATGTAAGTTATACTTCTTTTAAAAAATATTTCTAGTAGTTGCTCTAGAGTTTGCAGTATACATTTACAACAAATTTAAATCCACTTTCAAATAGCTCATGTGTAGTACAGGTACATATTACAGAGTAATACCCGTTTCTCCCTTCCAGCCTTTATAACTGACTGGCATTTATTTTACTTATTTATAAGGCATAATCACCCAAGATGTTGTTGCTATTATAATTTGAAAAACAGTTATCTGTTAGATCAATTAAGAATAAGGGAAATAAATGGCTTAAGATCTGAGTTTCTCTTCTGTATCATTTTCCTTCTCTCTGAAGAACTTTTAAAATTTCTTGCAAGGCAAGCCTACTGGTGACCAATATACTCAGAAGTTTTGTTTGTCTGAGAAAGTCTTATTTCTTTTCACTTTGAATGTTAACTTTGCAGTATACAGAGTTCTAGATTGGTAGTTTTTTTATTTTTACACTTTAAATATTACGTCCTACGATCTTTTTACTTGAACAGTTTGTGAAGAGAAGCCCATTGTAATTCTTATCCTTTTTCTGCTATATATGTAAGTTACATTTCTCTCTCTCTCACTTTTTTTTGCTGGGGAATATTAATTTACCATTATTTTTGCTTTTTTAACTTTTAAGTTTAGGGTTACATGTGTTTTTTTTATTTATCTTGCTTGATGCTTTCCAAGCTTCCTAGATCTGTGGTTTGGTGTCTGTTATCAATTTTGAAATATTCTCAGCCATTATTCAAATTTTTTCTATTCTTTTCCACCTTCTCCTTCTGGTATTCCCTTACACATATGTCACACCTTTTGAAATTGTTCCACAGTTCTTGGATATTCTGTTCCATTTTTCTTCATTCTTTGTTTTCTTCACATTTCCATTTGGGAAGTTTCTACTGACACATCTTTAAGCTCCTTGATTCTTTCCTTGAAGGTGTCTAATCTACTGGATGAGCCCACCAAAGGCATTCTTCATTTCTCTTGCAATGCTGTTGATTGCTAACTTTTAAGAAATTTTCTATTTTTAGAATTTCCATGTCTCTGCTTACATTTTACCCATCTATTCTTGCATCTTGCCCCACCTTTTCCATTTGAACACTTAGCATATTAATCATAGTTATTTTACATTTCTGGTATGATAATCCCAAGATTTCTGCTATATCAGAGTCTGGTTCTTTCACTTGTTTTATCTCTTTAAACTGAGTTTTTTGTTGTTTTTATACATGACTTGTAATTTTTTGTTGAAAGCTGGACATGATGTATGGGGTAATAGGAACTGAGATAAACAGACCTTTAGTGAGAGCATTTATGATTATCTGGCTAGTAGTAGTGCTGTGTTTACTGTTTGCTATAGCTGTAGGTATTATAATTAATTTTATGTGTCAATTTTAATGAAGCCATGGGCTGCCCAGATGAAATGTTATTTTGGAACGTGTCTGTGAGGGTATTTCTGGAAGAGATCAGAGTTTGAATTGTGCTATGGGCAGGCATCATATAATCTATTCAGGGCTGTAATAGAACAAAAGACACAGGAAGGAGACACTCATCCCTTTTTTCCTACCCAGCTTGAGCTGGGACATCTCATCTCATCTCCTGCCCTTGGACTGGGATTTACATCATTGGCTTCTGTGGTTGTTAGGCCTTCAGACTTGGACTGAATTATACCATTGCATTTCCTGGGTCTTCAGCTTGTAGATAGCAGATTGTAAAACTTCTCAGCCTCTATAATATATAAGATATCTATCTATATCTATCTATACATATATGTATATAGATCTATCTATCTACATATATATATAGATCTATCTATCTATCAATCTATCTATCTATTCTTAGCCATTATTACCTTAAATGTTTCACATATTTTTCTACTCTTTTCCATTTTCTCCTTCTGGTGTCCTTTTACACATATGTTATACCTTTTGTAATTGTTCCACAGTTCTTGGATATCCTGTCCAATATTATATATTGGTTACATCTATATCTATATCTATACATCTTATTGGTTCTGTCTTTCTGGAGAACCCTAATACAGTAGGTATCTGAGACTTCAATTTTTTCTGTTGTTCTTGTTTTTCTCTCCCTTCTTGTCTTTACCTTTTCCTAGAAACTCCTTCTTAAGTAGAATCTGGGCCTTGCTGTTCTTTAGCTGTCATCTGCTGTTCTTATGCAGGAGTCCTGGTGATGAGGTGATAAGGTGGGAGAAAAGGGTATGTACTTGCTCTATAAGTCTATGAATAGTGAGTCTATTACCCCAGGCTATGACCTTAGCTTCCTTCTTCTTAAGATTAAAAAAAAAATGTGTATGTGTGTATACTCACACACACACACACACACACACTTACACACACACATTCATGTACTACTGGTTCTGTTTCTCTGGAGATCACCAACAGATTAAGAATACATTACATATTAATCAAACATCATGTGAAATCGTTCTTCTTATATACAAGTCACTAGATTAATAGCGCATAATACTTTAAATTTAAAGGTTCGAGACAAAGTTGCTTTTTAAATTCAGAACTTTAATAAATTGAAGACCAATTTAAACCCATATAGCTTTAATTAGTCTTGTTAGCTCAAAACCCCAGCCTTCCACTTTTGCAGAAATTTAAATTTACTAGCTGTGTGGCTTTTGTGACCTTAAGTCAATTAAATTCTTAGTTTACTCATCTGGAAGTGGGGATCGTTTTTGCCTTTTTATTTTTAAGGATTTTTGTGTGAATCACAGAAGTTTATGAAAACTCTGTAAGCTGTAAAGGGCTACTCTCCTTAGAAGTAATTATCATCAAGTATAATTGGTGAGGATTCAACTAATACACACTGCGGTCACATTACATTGTAACTGGCCCTGAAGCCTTAGAGAAGGACAGGTGGGGCCATGGAACCCAGGTGGAACATGACTGCATTAATAACATTGAATGATGCTCTTGACATTTTACTTCAATTTTTCAGATTATGTCAAGAAGACAGTCTGCTCAGAAATAGACTTTACATGTTTCTAAAACTAATTGCTTCTTTCATAATGAAAAATCATGCCCAGGCTCAGAGCCTTTTGAAGGCAATTTTATTTGGCAATAATTCAATAATTTTTATAAAATAGTTATAATTACCTTCTATTTACATCTGATGATACTAACTTTCCATTTACTATAATGATATGTAGTATCCTTTTAAAATAAATGCATTTAAATGAAAAAACTTGTCTTAATTGTACAAGTGAGATGGGAATGTGGCAAACACTGGGAAAACGGGATGTAAAAGATTGAAGATGGGAGAAACACTACTCTAAAATGCTCTGAATGCCGAAAAATATTTCTCTGTACTAGTGTGCATCCTCTCATCTACGAATGCAAGATGCCACCTTGGAATCCTGAAGAGTGGTAGGGTGTTCTCTAGTTGCCTTTCTTGCATTAGCTTGTTCTGTTTTTCACACCCACCTTGTAAGGTAGGAGTCAGCATCTCCGTTTTGTAGATGGGTAAATGAGATGTGAAGAGTGTCCTTGTTCAAGGTCATACTGTGTCAGTGCTGTAGCCACTATTTAAATCAGGGGCTGTGGGGTAGAAAACAGGGCAGGGAAGGGTCTGTGTGGAGAAGGTGATAGTGATGCAATGTCAGCATCACTCACTCACTCAAGGTCAGGCTCTGGGAAGCTGACTGTGAGAGAATTCCAGAAGATAAGAGCCTTGACACCTTTAACTCTTTAACTAGGGCCTAGCAGAGGCAGGATAGTCTTTTCCTCCTTCAGGGGAAAAATGCAGTTTGCCTTCTGGCAAGTTTTGTTCAGATCTCTGGTTCTGACTGTGGGCAGATGGTTTTTAATAAATGTCCAGAGGGAGAAGGAATGAAGAGAGACCGAAGGAACAAAAGGAGAAGAGAGGAAAAGATCGCTCTGAGAGCTTCGATTCCTTGGGAGTCCCACATTCTTCCTGGTTCCTTCCTAGGGTGTCATGGAGATATTTGAGGCATTTTGCTAAGGTTGAAAATGGGATGTTTATAGCACCTCAACCCTGGCAGACAGATGGAAACAATTAACACCATATCTTAAAAATCCCATAGTTGGAAGCTGCTCAGCAGTCCTGATGTTTAAAATCCCTTTCTGGATGGTTGGAGCAGAGACAAAAAGAGACAGGAAATATGATGTGCTCATCACCTTTTATGTGCTGAGCACTTGGGCAGTTCCATGAGGTCGCTGCTGCTGTTAGCCCTATTTACCAGATGATAAGACTGAGGCTCAGAGGGGTAAGTATGTGCCCTGTGCCCAGGGTCAAGGAGCTAAGAATTCAACCTCCCAAAGCTCATGTCTTTTTCAGGCAAACAGGTAGAGAATGCTGAAAGACAAAGAGCCTGGGGTGGTCTGAATAAAGCCTCCCTCTAAAAAAAGGTAAAGGTTGGCAGGGTATGGTGACTCACACCTGCAATCCCAGCACTTTGTGAGGCTGAGGAGAGCGGATCACTTGAGGTGAGGAGTTAGAGACTAGCCTGGCCAACATGGCGAAACCCCATCTCTACTAAAAATATAAAAATTAGCCTGGAGTGATGGTGGGAGCCTGTAATCCCAGCTACTCAGGAGGTTGAGGCAGGATAATTGCTTGAACCTGGGAGGTGGAGGTTGCAGAGAGCCGAGATCACGCCACTACACTCCAGCCAGGGCGAGAGAATGAAACTCTGCCTCAAATAATAATAATAATAAGTAAATAAAATAAAAAAATAAAAAAATAAAAACCGTAAAGGTATCCACATCCTGATTTGTGGAACCTGTGAATGTTACAGGCAGAAAAAAAAAAAAAGACTGGGAGATTTAAAACAGAAGAGGAGAAGGCGATGTGACCACAGAGGCAGAGATTGGAGTGATGTGGCCATAGCTGAGGAATGCGGGCAGATGGCAGAAGCTGGAGGAGGCCTGGGAAGGATTCTCCGTCAGAGCCTGTGGAGGGACCATAGTCCTGCGGACACCCTGACTTCAACCCAGTCAAACTGATTTTGGATTTCTTGTTCCTGGAACTGTGAGATAATAAATTTATCTTGTGTTAGTCTGTGAGGTTTGTGGTAATTTGTTATAGAAGGCACAGGAAACCATACAGGGCCTCAAATAGAATCCTGAGGGACAACATTTCAGGGACCATGAGAGGGAGAAAGAATGCCGAGGAGGTGAGGACAAACCAGGAGTTTGGAGAAACAAGGAGTGTTCCAAGGACAGACAGTGGCCTGGTCCCCTGACCCACGAGGCCAGGAGTTGTGTGACTCATCCCCATCCTGCAAGGCCTCCTCTGCTTCCCTTGGTTCCATGCCTTCTCTTCCTGGGCAGTGGCACCTTCAGCTCCAGAGCTGAGAAGGTCCTTAGGGACCTCTGAGACCTTGGTCCAACCTCTGTCCCAATGCAGGAGTGTCTCCAGGGCATTCCAGAGGGTTGTCAATCTCGCTAACCAGCCACAGATGAAGGCCAGAGGTCATGGATGGTGTCTTGATGGAGAGTTGGGGAGGGGAGATGAATGAAGACAAAATACCGAAATGTGACCAAAATCTCACAGTTCAAAAGCCACTATATAGTCAGTCAATCAATATACAATTAGGGATAACAGAGATCCTTACTTCTTCAGAAGCCAGCACTTTACAAATGCTGCAAAATATCTTGGCAACTAATGCATACGGTGTGCCGCCCGGGTGAGGTGGCTGATCCCTGCAGCTGACACTCGGGGATTGACTGGGCAGCTGTCTAGGGGACAGGGACCCAAGGGTTCTTCCTGGGTGGGGGGGCAGGGAGCAGATGCGAGCTTTGCCCTTGATTAAAACCATCTCCACTTACAGGACTGGTGAAGATCAGATAAGCTAAGGTGTTTGCAGTCAGCCCTCTGGAACTCTCCCTTCCTTCTAGTTAATACTCAGCCACAGGCCAGTGTCAAAAGGCTTCTCCCTGGCTTTGCAGTGTGGGTTGCACGTGCTCTGCAAACTAGCAGGTAGGCCAAGATTCATACTGCTCCTACGCCAAAATGCAAACTCTTTTTCTTGGCCTAAGAGGTCTGCGGGCAGATGGGACCCGCCCACCTCTCCAACTCCACCTCCCACCTGCCTACCCCTGGCTTACCGCCCTCACCTCCCTCACCATGAGCGGGCTTCTCTCAGTTCTTGGAATCTGCCAAACTCTGTTGTGCTTGCTCTTCCCTCTACCTGGGAAGTTTTTCCCATGGCTGGTGCCTTCTCAACTTCCAAATCTCAGCTTCAGTGACACCTCCTGGAAGTGCCTTCCTTGACCACTTCAGCTAAGATGTCCCCCACACCAAAAGCTTGTTATCATGCATTGCCTATTCTTACTTCATTAGTCTATCACTCTACAGAATTATTTTATTTGCTTACCTTCTCGTTGGCTGTCTCCCTCTGCCCATCCCCATGACTCTCAGGGTAGGTTGTTAACATTGTTCCTCATTCTACTGGTAGTACAGAGCTTGAAATATACCAGATCCTTGACGAGTATTTATTAAATGTGGTAATGGCTGAGGGAAGGCTGTAGGGACAGCCTCACAGATGAAGCTCAGGGCTGCTGTTGCCATGGCACATGGGAGAGGGAGGCCCAAGTGGAAGCACTAAAGATCAAGGGCAGGGAAAAGATTCTAGCCCGAGGCATGCCAGGGAGAGGGGCTGCTACAGGCTAAGGCCAATAAAAGCAAGTCCTGGCAAACAGGATGCTCCTCAGCCTGGAAACTCATTGGAAAGGGCCCAAAGAAGCTTCTGGATGGGCTAGTGGGATCTCCAATGGCAAAGAAGACTTCTATGCTACTAGATGAGCCCCGAAGCCTTCAGATAGTGGAGTCAGTATAGAGGGTCAGTCTATGTAGGTGAGATCTGGGAAGGTGTATGAGAGATAAGGGTAGTGGAGGGGCCCCCCCAAAATGCCCATTGACTGGATGCTTTCCCAGAACATCCTCACTGTCAGATCTCTCTACGCAGTGGGATCCCTGCATCCTTTACATAGTTAATGATCCCCTTTTCAGTGCATGATACAGCCCACCAGACCATGAAAAACTTGGAGAGGAGCCCAGAGGCATCTTGGTGTGATGGCTAAAGGCTAATGACTATTTCATAGCCTGAGATTACAGGCCCCATAAAGTGCTTCACAGCATTTCCACAGCCAGCATAATATGGTGGGGAAGAGCTCTGCCTCTGAGACCAAGAGCGTAAACCCAAGTCCAAGCTGTGTGACACTGGCCAAGTCACTTAACCTCTTTGTTCCTCATCTTTAAAATGGGCATGATGATAGCCCTATTTCAGAAGGCTGTCATGAAGCTTAAATGAGTTAGCACATAAAGCACTCTGAACAGTGCCTGGCGTACAGTAAATGCTATGGAAGTGTATTGTCGTTCAAGGAAGTAGCAGTGGGCTTTGAAATAGTGTTCACAATATCACACAGAGATAACAATGTTAATTGTGAGTCCAGGCTGGTTGTTAAGGGCTGGTGGGCTAGTGTAGAGAATTATCTTACTTCATAATCTATCACAAGCCCAGTGTGATGGAACACGGTGAGGGTGGTAAGCAAGGGACAGGGAGGTGGGAAGTGGAGTTGGAGAGGTGGGCAGGGCTCATCTGCCTGCCAGACCTCTCAGGTCAAGAAAAGGAATTTGCATTTTTGCCTAGCAGCGATACAAATCTTGGCCTACCTGCTAGCTTGCAGATTATTCATAACCCACACTGTAGTCCTGAGGCCAGCCAGGGAAATTCAGAGCTCTGGATGGTTCCCAGGCTTCCTGCACTCTTCAGAAACCAACTTGCCACTGCGGACAGATCATAACATTCCACCGTAACACTGTGGTTGGTCAGGCAGGGAGTTGGTGCCGAAAACTGGAATGCACACATTTCCTTCTGTAGAGGGATCGTGCTTGTGCATTGGAACAAGCATGACAACTTTTTTTTTTTTTAATTGAAAGGGTGATGAGTAATTTCCTGTCACTGACTCCTGGATCATGGTTATATTTGATATGGAAGTTGTGATCCTGACACGTCCAATAACAAAAACAGCAACTTCAAGCCTCTAGTGACTCTTAGCTTTAACAAAAAGAAGGGTGCTTGATTGGCAAACCCGATCAGTTATGTGCTTTTCCAGATGTTGGATGCTCCTTTTAAAAAAATTCTGATAGGAGAAAAAAGGGTTCCAATCAAAATACATTTTTATTGTCTTTTACATTTACCTATGTTATTATCTTTATGGGTGCTCCCATTTCTTCATGTGGATTTGAGTTACTGTCTAGTGTCTTTTCATTTCAGTCTGAAGGACTCCATTAGGATTTCTCGGAGGGAAGGGTGTGCTAGCAACAAATTTGCACAATTTTTGTTTATGTGAATAGGTCTTAATTTCTCTTTCAGTTTTGAAGGATTGATTGCTTTGTTGTCTACCAAATTCTTGTTTGACAGTCTCCCCTCCAAGTATTTTGATATTGGGTGGGGTTTTTCTAACTGCTTTGTGCCTAGAAAAAAATGCATTAAGTGTTTGAGGCTGGTGTGGCTAGTTAAGACCATACGTCATCCAACTGCCTTTTGGTCTCCATGGTTTTTGATGAGAAATCAGCTGTTCATTTTATTGGGCAGTCCTTGTTTGTGATGAGTCCTAAATATTTTCTCCCATTTTCCTCCATGAAAGTTTATAGTTTTATGTTCTATATTAAATCTATGATTCATTTTGAAGTAATTTTTGCATAAGGTGCAAGGTTTAGGACCATGTTCAGCTTTTTTCCATGATGGATCCAGAACTATTTGTTGAAAAGTTTGTCCTCCCTCCATTGAATTATTGTACTGAAATAATGGTCTTCACTATCCACACCAGCCTAGAAGACTTTTAATGCATTTTTGTCTAGTCATAAAGCAATTTAAAAAACCCCACCCATTCAATATTTTATTTTGGGATTTAGAGATTTTTTGTATAAGAATCATGGTCTTCTTCTTCCCCCTTCTTATCTTTAATAAGCAACCTTTCACTGTGGCTATAGAGAGTTAGAAAAATGTGGTGGAATAGGAATGCCTAGTCCATAAGTCTCAAACAGTTTCTAAAGAGAGAGGAGAGATAAAAAAACGAAAGAAAAGGAAAGGAAAAGGAAGGAAAGGAAAGAAAAAAGAAAAGAAATAGAAAAGAAAAAGAGAGAGGGCCTGGAGTTCAGCTTCTAATTCATCACTTTTTACTTGATTACCTTGGACTTATTTCCTGTCTGTAAATGGAAACAATACTCCCTTCTTCACAGACTCCTTGTGATAAGTGACGGCTCACAGGTCAAGCTTTCTGAGGGGGTCCTGCTGCGGCTCCCTTTCTGCCCCAGGGAGAGGTAGCAGACCAAGCCTCTTTCTCCTGAAACCAGCCTCTCTTCCTGAGGCTGGAGGAGGCTGGTAGCAGAGGTGTCTGCAGGGAGCTGGGCAGCTGGGGAGTAGATCTTGGATTAGTGTGTCAATGGGGGATGGGGGTGCCTCTATGTGCTCCCCATCTAGCGCCCGACACTGCACACCCGCCCTGCTTGAGCTCTGGCTGTAGAGAAAGATCAGTGAGGATGTAAATGGATTAGGAAAAGCCCGCCTGGCTTCTTCCGGTGCCACTCAGCACCTGGGTCTCTGGAGATTAGTGGGTGGCAGCTTTGTCAGGGAGATAGACATTTAAACATCAGCTTTGGTCTAAAGGCCCTGCTTACCAGAAGAGAGGGAAGAGAAGACTAGCCCTCTTGAGCCTCCTCCAGTTTATCTGTGAGGCTGCCCCTTTCTGAAACATGGGGCTTATACTTCTGTCTAGTGAGTCGCTCTGGCACTTCAGGCAGGTGCTGGAGAAAGGGGTGGTACTGGCACCAAATCTGACTCTACATGTGGCAGCCAGAGATGAAAGATGTGAATCACGTACTGCAGGCAAAAATGTTAGCTAACTTCTCCAGAGAGAGAAGGAGAGGAGGCCACACACTACCCAGGTGTAGGTTACTCTCTGCAACAGCTCGCACCCAGCTGGGAGGTGCTGTTCTCATGTTTCATTTGGTTGTTCATTTATTTATTCATTTAACCTTTCATTTGGGAGTTTTATTGTTTGTTTACTCATTCACTGAGAACCGACCAGCCAACCTGGTCAGTCCTCCAATTAACATTTCTTTAACTCCTCTGTGTGCTTGGCTCTGTGCCTGACCCCAGGGACCCAGGTGCTGAAAACACAGTGCCGGTGTGCAGTAGTGGCCAGACCATGCCTGGCTGCACCAGAGTGGCGAGTACGGGCCCGGACATGTTCCTGGACATTGCAGAGGCCCTGTCACATGCATGTCTTTATTGTAGGCATGAGCCTGTCCTCTGTGACGCTGGCCAGCGCCCTACAGGTCAGGGGTGAAGCTCTGTCTGAGGAGGAAATCTGGTCCCTCCTGTTCCTGGCCGCTGAGCAGCTCCTGGAAGACCTCCGCAACGGTAAGAGAGTGTTTGGGGGCAGTCAAATCACAGGGAGTTGTATGTGAAGCTTCCCACACAAACACAGTTCTGGCTGCTGCTGCTTTTTTAAATCAACCTCTGAGAGCACAGAACAAGGTTGCTGCTGCTTGATCTGTGATTACTCTGAGGTATTAGAATGAGTAGAAGAATAGCACCTATCCTTGGAGCTGCACTGGGAGGGCAGGCCTGACTCTTGGACCCATGCCATGTGGCAGAGTCAAAAGAAAGGCTTTGCTTCTGCCTTGGTGTTGCAGCATTTCCAGGCATGCAAAGCTGGGAGGATTTAGGAAGAGAGTGGCTGCAGTGCTATGGGTGTCTAACAGCACATGGGCTGTCTCTGGGCATAACCAGAGATGAGAGGCAGGGTGTGGTCACCCAGGACACCCCTACACTCTGTCCACCAGATGTTGCACTAGTCTGTGCCCCATCAGAAGGCAGACCTGGCTGGGCACGGTGGCTCACACCTGTAATCCCAGCACTTTGGGAGGCCAAGGTGGGCAGATTACCTGAGGTCAGGGGTTTGGGACCAGCCTGGCCAACATGGTGAAACTCCATCTCTATTAAAAATACAAAAAAAAAAATTTGCCAGGTATGGTTGCGCTCGCCTGTAATCTCAGCTACTCGGGAGGCGGAGACAGGAGAATTTCCTGAACCCAGGAGGCAGAGGTTGTAGTGAGCCAAGATTGTGCCACTGCCCTCCAGCCTGGGCAACAGAGCAAGACTCATCTCAAAAAAAAAAAAAAAAAAAAGGCAGACCTACTCTGTGTTCTAAACAGGGGAGGTTAATAGAAAGAATTACTAAACAGTGTTTGAAGAGCAACTGTAAGGCATAAGAAAACGCTGGTGTGGTGGCTTACTCATGTAATCCCAGCACTTTGGGAGACCGAGGCGGGTGGATCACCTGAGGTCAAGAGTTCAATACCAGCCTGGCCAACATGGTGAAACCCTGTTTCTACTAAAAATACACACACAAAATATTAGCCGGGCGTGGTGGCGTGCACTTATAATCCCAGCTACTTGGGAGGCTGAGGCAGGAGAATCACTTGAACCCGGGAGGCAGAGATTGCACTGAGCTGAGATCGCGCTATTGCACTCCAGCCTGGGTGACAAGAGCGCGAAACTCTGTCTCAAAAAAAGAAAAAGAAAAAGAAAATGCTAGTGGGTCTCCTAAGGCTGAGGGCAGGTACCCAGTGAGGGATAAACTTTGAAGGGAAGCCCCCTTCCCTGTTTGGGGTTCAGATCTGTGGGAGGAGCTGTGCTTGCAGCCCATGATGATGGTAGAATTTGCTGGTGTGCCCTGCCAGAGGTGGTCTGCAGTCATGGCCCAGGCAATAGCCACCGGTGGCCAGGTAGGGAGCACGCACTGCAGGTGGGGGTTGGGGCGACCCTTTAGGGTGTAGGTGGGCTCGGGCGAGTCACCTCTCTGGAGGTTGGTGTGGGCAGGAGGGCCGCTAGAGTCCTGTGTAGATTTGAGAAGGTGGTCACATGTCAAGTTCCGGCCTTGAGGTGGCCAAGTGACCTCACATCCTGGGCATGTGTTCTGTACAGAGCCCAACCTCCAGGTGGCCTCACACTTGCACTAACTCCAGAAACTGTGGGAGAGATAAGGCCTCCTATAGTGTCTCTTCAGAGCCCTCTAATGAGAAAGCTGCACACTGTGCTCTCAGTAATAAGGCCTCCTATAGTGTCTCTTCAGAGCCCTCTAATGAGAAAGCTGCACACTGTGCTCTCAGTACAGGAGAGACCTAAGGTAGCGGTATCCAAGGATGACTATGGGGCTCCTAGGCATTAAGGTCCAGAACAAATGCTGAGTACCCACACTCAGGTGTCAACTCACAGGTCACACGTGCTTGGGGGCTTCAGTGCATACAGCAGAGGCTCCTGGAGTGAAACATTACACATGTTCTGTGAGGGCGATGGGTCCCAGCATGGGCCTATGGAGGAGGCTGTGCACCTGTGCCTTCAGCGTCATCTTCTCCCTCTTCCCCACCCTGGAGGTTCTGATGAACAGCTACGGAGCTCCCAGAAGACCAGCTGCCTTGGATCCTGGTCTGTCTCTAGAGAACTCAGGCTTGTGCTAAATTCCAGGTGTGCCTGACCCTCTCTTTACCTTTTACCTTGAGACTCTTGGGCCACAGATGAATTTAGGTGCAGGTGCTAACTTCCTGGCCATGGCCACAGTCACCTTTTATTATACATGTTCCCATGCATCAGGGTTGAATTTATTCTGTTCCATGTCTCCTCTGGGTCTTGCTCACATTCAGTCCCAGAGATGGGTACTGCCAGGCACCTGCTGGGCACAGTCCCATGCTGGCACCCCAGATGGAAGCTCTGTCTCTACAGCCCCATCACTGGCTTGGTTTCAGATTCCTCGGACTATGTGGTTTGCCCCTGGTCAGCCCTGCTTTCTGCAGCTGGAAGCCTTTCTTTCCAAGGCCGTGTTTCTCATATAGAGGCTGCTCCTTTCAAGGCCCCTGAACTGCTACAGGGACAGAGTGAGGATGAGCAGCCTGATGCATCTCAGGTAAGCTGTGCAGCTACTCTGCAACTTCTGAGTCCTGTGCCCTGGGAAAGGCCTGTCCCAGCGGCAGCCTCCCCAGCTCCCAGCTCAGCCTTGCAGAGCTTGGTTCTCAACACCAAGCCAGAGTGGGTTTCAAGAGTTTTATTCCCAGGATTTCTTGTCAACAACTTACTAGCTCATGGACAAGGGCAAGTCCACTTCTCTGAGCCCCAATTTCTACATTGGTAAAATGGGGTTAATGTGGCTTAATTGATCAGGTTATTATCAATATTCAAAAAGAAGTGTTGAAAAGCTGTGGTTAAGTGGTCTGGCACATTGTTACCATTGGCAGTATGTAGCAAGACACCTCAAAATGACCCAACACGTCCTCAACTAGGAATTTATTCTAAGGCACAAGTAAAGATAAATTTAGCTGCAGCAATGCTGATTGTTGTATTGCTGACGTTAGTGATAAATTGAAAACAAGCTAAATAGTGAGTGGGAGAGGACATGAGACAAAACACCATTAAAATGAGGCTGTAGAAGCTTATTTAATGTATTGAAAAGAAATTCAATATATGTGCACATAATATTATCCAAGTTTGGTTAGAGAGGATGAAAGAGAGAGAGAGAGGAAGTTCTAAAAATACATACACCAAAGTGTCTGCGGTGATTGTTTCTGGATGGCAACATCAGTGGAGGTTTTTGGTTTTTCAACAATGGACATGTTTTGCTTCTGAACAGCAGAAGTTTCCAGTAAACATCATTTTTAATTTCAAAGAGAATTTTAATTCTCTCAAAGGAGAGAATGGTGCAAGGCAGCCACACAACACTGGATGGGGCATGGTGGGTGTTTCCGCAGAGAGTTCTGTTTCTTCTTCCTCGCCCTTTCATGAGAAAAGTGCAGATGTGAAAATGCTGCTACCCTCGGGAGGCATTCTGGAATGGGAGCTGCTTTCCCTCCAGGCTCTGAAAGGCAGAGAATGGGGATGTGGTGGTTTCCAGATTTGGTTTGTCTGGGTCCACATGTCTGTAAGTCAGCCCACAAAAGTGAAAGCATAAGAGTTCCAGTTCCAGTGACCCCAGCTCCAGCACCCCCTCCCCCCTGAAATCCTGGAAGTCACTCTGGCATCCAGGCCCACATACCTTCTTACACTGCCAGGACCCCAGGGGTGAATCACTGATTCCTGGATTGGACACAGACTTGCGTGCCTCTCAGGTCTGTTTGGGACTCTTGGCTCCACCTACACTGAGTTGCCTCTTATGCCCTGGACTCAGCTAAGATGTCACATATTGACCCCTGGGACTGGGATTTCTGTGTGACTGCTAAAGGACCACGCCAATGCAACCTGAGAATGCAGGGGAGTTACCTTCTTATGGGGGACACTTAGCCAGTGGTAAATGAGAGTCTGGAGGGGACCTAAGAGGATACGTTTTCCCTCCTCTTTCTCTTGTGGATGGCTTTGTGCTGTGCAAGCCTTGCAAGCTTTCTAGAGAAGTCCTGAGTGCTAGGAAGCCCTGTCTGCTGCACTTCAGGCTGTGCTCTGTTGCTTGTTGCAAGGAGATGGCCAGCATTTTGACCCTGCATATCACATTGGTCCCTGTCTCCCTTCCCATTTTCTCTACACTGTCATTGCCCTGGGCTTGCAGCCCCTGAGTGAAGGGTCTGCACTTAACCCTTGCCTCAGGCTCCACTTTCTGATGTACCTGAGCTAACACAGATTTGAGTGCTCCTGACCATCCCAGTACTCACTGGTTAGGATCAGGCATCACCCTCCTGATTGCAGGTTGGCCTCCATTGAGTACCTTATGAAGGCCCAGTCACTTCTCTGCCCAGAGCGTCTTTGAGCTGGAAAATAATATGTTCCTTCCTCCTGCACACTTTCCTCCAGGCAGAGGCACGAGGACTCCAGTAGATTCAAGACTAATAGGTTGAGTTAAGAACTGGCTAAATGTATTGCTGAGTCCTGGCCAGGAAGATGAGAGTGAGTGTGAGCTGGAAGAGATCCAGTATGAGAGGGACTGAGCTCCGAACTAACCAAACATTGGTTTAGCGCTCTAGGCATATGAAGCATGGCAAGTGGAGTGGGCTTTAAGGGGCCAAAGCCACCAGCCTCAAGCCCTGTTTATTAGGCAAGGAGGCAGAGTGACCAGGTAACTTGATCTCTTTCAGCATCTCTAACACTCAGTTCTGTTCATCACTGTTCTTTTCCATTCATTACAGGCTCCTCTCTTCATCCAGTTTGGCATGGGTCCATGAGGGGTTGGTTGGGCAGCTAGGAGCTAGGAGAATGGTCCCTGGACAGGCTGTGCTCAGAATCCTCCCCCAGTCCTGGGCCTCGTTCTGGTGCTGGGAGGGTGTACCCAGACCCCTCTCCTTGGACCAACATCTGCCCTAAACAGTGCACTGACATATTTCCCCAACTACTTGGCATCTTAGCCTCAGGTGCAGGTCAGGTGGAAGGTGTGGGCAGGTCTCTAACTACAAGTCATCTGTGCTGCCAGTACCCCATCCTATGCTCATGGCAGACATCACCAATCAAACATGGTGTTCTTTCCCACTGAGCCAGGAGTTGCCTTCAAAATCCTTCTCACCAGCCTCTACTGGCAGTGTCTACCAGTGAGCTGAATTTAGAATTTTGGATGAAGCCTTTTGTCACTGTGGCCAAGGCCTTGCCCTAAGACACTTTTAGACAGAGCCCTTAGAATCCAGGTGAGCTCCCAGGTGTGGGTGGTGCCTCTGGCAGTGCTCAGGATGCTGGAGCTCTGTCTGCACTTCAGTCCCTGCAGCTCCATGAGTCTCTATGCTCCATCATGCTAACCGTGTGGGAAGACCAGCCTTGCGGGTGGCAGTCACTGCAATTGGTTCTGGGAGCTTGTTGGGTAATGAGAAAGAAGTGGCTGCCTACCAAGCCCCTGCTCTTTGGGTCCTTTCTCTGGAAATGGGGGTGCAGCTTGTGAACTTTCTTGCATGGTATCTATGCACGTTCATCTGAGGGGTGGGAGCTGGTTTCAGGATATAATTTCAAACAAAGATGAGAGCTAATGAGTTGTCACAGGTGACATTGAACACATCTTGACCTTGAGATGTGAACAACCAAAACCAAAAACTAAAACCACTTGTATTAAACCAAGTGGGGGGCTCAAATAACTGTGTGTTTTTACATGCAATGTTTCATTACCTCATTGTTTCCTTCTAAAATCCCAAAAATCATTTCCTGAGAAGAGAGATCTTAAGGGAAATGTGCCTTGTCAGTTATAATAGAAGCCCCACAATAAACACCAACTGACATTGATTGAGGACTGGTATAATCCAGAGGCCATGTAGACAAGTGGGGACAATTAAAGTACCTACGTCACAGGATTGCAGTGAGGACTAAATAAGTTTATATGGGTAAAAGACTTAGAACAAGGCCTGGTATATTGTAAGTGCTCTATGTCCAATAATAATAATGGTAACAATAATAATAGTTAATATTACCACCTTCGGGTACT
Source organism: Homo sapiens (assembly GCF_000001405.40). Taxonomy (NCBI): domain Eukaryota; kingdom Metazoa; phylum Chordata; class Mammalia; order Primates; family Hominidae; genus Homo; species Homo sapiens. The sequence goes on along the minus strand of NC_000010.11, from coordinate 48,245,549 downwards.
TTTGACTTGATCTTTATTAGAATTCAGGCAGAATACTCATTTTTAAGATGAAGAAACTGAGGGTCAGAGATGTCAAACAATGCTCTTCCCATGACATCATTTTGCTTCTTGACAAGATATGGTGCTTTGTAATCAGGCTGAACTGTAATGTGTCATGGAAACAGAAGGCCTAAAATACAATGGCCAGGGCCAAAGATATGGTTGTTAGTTACTAAACAAGAGGTCTAGGGATTGGTCAGCAGCCGTTTCATGTCATCAAGGATCCAGGCTGTGTATTTCCATTCTACCTTCCCCAGTGGCTGGCTTTCTGTCCTATGCTTGCTGCCTCATTGTCACGGAATGGCTGCGAAGACTCCATGTATCAATCACATCAATTTTGAAGGCAGGAACAAAGGGGAAAGTGTGGGGCCAGTCACATGTGTCCTTTTGTCAGTAAAGCAAAAGCCTTATCAGAAGCCCCCTAACAGATTTCTCTCACGCCTTTCACCAAAACTGAGTGTCATGGTTTCTGCTAGAAAGCAAATTTCTGGCTTTCTAGCCTCCGGAGTAGGAGGTAACAAGGGTTAAGGGAGTTGCAGATGGTGCTAGACTCGCCAGACAACAGTGTCTGTTCATGTGGAAATTGGATTGTATTTTTCTTGCAGAGCCATGGAATAACAGAGATGATTGAAATCTAATCATGTACTCTTCTTTTGGGCAGATGCATGTCTATTCTTTAGGAATGACCCTCTACTGGTCAGCAGGGTTTCATGTTCCGCCACATCAGGTTTGTAAACAAGATACTCCAAGTCTTGCCGGGCTGTGTCTCTGGGTTTATTTAGTGGTTTTCTCCTGGGCAGGGACCACATTTACTGAGCACACATAATGCCACTCTCCCGTCCTCTAGGTCCTAGGCAGGCGTTGAGAACTTATCACACAACTCCTTCCTGCTAGTGCAGAAACAACCTCAGAATCCCACTCAACATAGCACTCCAGGCAGCCACAATTTGGGACTGGCAAGCAGGATAAGTTTGGCCATCTCCGCTCAGAGGAAGTATTAATAGCAAGCTAGAGAATTTTATAGACACTGAAGATACAGATTTACATATATTTTAAAAAGGCTTTAAAACAACCCTTCCCAAAGTGAGATGCTTCCCTGAAAAAGGCTTCTGGGCTCAATAGATTTGGGTAAATGCTCCCTACAATATCTCCCTCTCAAAGATTTTTTAGAGTCATTTTTTAAAAACTACAAGAAGGCTTAAAGCTTAGAAACTTAACTTTATCCTGGCTGGCCATGGTGGCTCACGCCTATAGTCCCAGCACTTTGGGAGGCTGAGGTGGGGAGACCACTTGAGCTCAGGAGTTCGAGACAAGCCTGGCCAACATGGCAAAACCCTGTCTCTACTACAAATAAAAAAATTAGCTGGGTGTGGTGGTGTATGCCTATAGTCCCAGCTACTTGGGAGGCTGAGGCATGAGAATCGCTTAAACCCCGGGGGCCGGGAGGGGAAGGTTGAAGTGAGTGGAGATCAAACCACTGCACTCCAGCCTGGGCAACAGAGCAAAACCCTGTCTCAAAAAAGAACTACATAAAAATATCCTAATATTTTACACAATTTTCAACTACAGAATAGAAGTGTTTGTGTACATTTCCATCTGATACTATAACAATTCCTTAGAGACTGGTGCCACAAGAACACCTGCTGGAGAGCCCTGCCTAGCTGACCTGGCTAGACTGGATCCCTCCCTCCTCCTCCCTTCCTTCCTGCCTTTCTTTCTACTCACCCCGACCCTCTCCAATTCAACATCCGGGCTCTTCCTGGGTGGTCTTTCTAAGAGACCAGCTCACGACCACTCTCACATGCAACCTTTTGTAACGCCTCACTGGCCGTGGGGTTGCCTTCTGACTTCTCAGTGAGACACACCTGGAGCCTAGGATAGGGTCCCTGCTCCCGTCTGGTTCCCCTTTGGCACTCTGCCATAATCAGGACCGGCTTCCTGGGTGTGTGTCCTGAGTGTGTGACCCTGTGTCATAGCACAGGGTCCTGCACTTAGTTTAATGCTCTGCTATCACTGTCCTGGAATTCTTAATAATTTTGAACAAGGGACCCCACATTGCTATTTTCCCCCAGGCCCCTGTCCTGCTCATAATCCCCTTCCCTTCAGATGCATGTCAGCTCATCTGCATCTTCGTGCCTTTGTACACACGGATCCCTTCACCAGCACCTCACTCCCCACTTTCCTCTTGGTTAACTCTAGCCTTGGCTAAGCCCCTTCCTCTACATTAGTGCCATGGCCTGTGCTTCCCAAGGTGAAAGTCCTTGTCATCCTCTATGGTCTTTGTCTCTTTTAGTGACCGTCTCTCTCATCACACCATTATTTTCCTGAAGGCAGGGACTGTATCTGGTGTGGCTGTGCAGCACCAGGCACAAAAGACGCCTGGATTTACTGTGACGGCAGGACTCAGCAGCTTGGCTGTACACAGAGATAGGTGCTCACAGCTGATGCTCCCCAGCAAGAAGCGGTAGTGCAGCCTTTATCTGGAAAGTGACCTGCAGTGTGTGTTGAGCTTGAGAAAAAGTCTGATTTTGAATCTGAATTTGAGGACTTTCTCCTATGAATTGTGGTCATTTAAATGCATGAGGGAAATGCTTATAAGATGCTTCTGTTTTCTTTTGCTCGATGTGTACACGTGACATAAAGTTCAACCAACAACGATTGAGCATTTGTGCTGACTGCTGGCTGTTCCGAAGTGAACAGGAATAGGCCACAGTCTGTATGTTCCAGGAGCTCACATTCCAGGGGAAAGGCCAAGTGAGACCCCCTGAGTGATTGGATACAATGACAAGCTACGCAGGTGAACTTGAGTGAAAGGCTGACCTCTGGTTTGATTTGGGGTGCTTGGCACAGGTGGAAATCCATCTTGTCAAAGCATCTAGTTTTCATGAGCATTCCAAGCATGTGCTTGGGCAGAAGGATGTTCTGGTTTAGAAAGCAGCAGACAACACAGAATTGCTGCAGAGATGATTGCTCCGCACTTTGCGGCCTCAGTGATGGATCTTGTGTCTGTCCTTAAACTCTCCAGAAGGGGCAGGCATCTGCTCTGGTGCTTGTGGGAACACCCGTTTCCATGTCTCCAAGGCCTGCCTGACAAGGTGCTGGCCTCGTAGTGGCAGCTCTGGCTGCTCTCTCCTCTCACCGGCCCTGTCTGCCTCCAGCCCCTGCAGCTCTGCGAGCCCCTGCACTCCATCCTGCTGACCATGTGTGAAGACCAGCCTCACAGGCGGTGCACGTTGCAGTCGGTTCTGGAAGCTTGTCGGGTTCATGAGAAAGAAGTGTCTGTCTACCCAGCCCCTGCTGGTCTCCACATCAGAAGGCTGGTTGGCTTGGTTCTGGGTACCATTTCTGAGGTCAGTAGAGAACCGTGCTTTTCAAGCAGTAGCTGCTGGTCATGTGTGGCTATTAAAATTTGAATTAGTTATATTATCATTAACTAAAATAAAATAAAAAATTAAATTAATCAGTCACATCTGTCACATTTCAAGTGCTCCGTTGCCACTCGTAGCAGGTGATGACCCTATTGAACAGGGTGGATCTAGAACATTCTTGTCATTGCAGTTCTATTGGGCAGTGCTAACAAAGACCTTTAGGCAAGCCCCAGTTTGTCACATGGCTAAGACCCTTGACATCTTTGCAAGTGCGTCCTTACATAAAGCAATAATGTTTAGAACCCATGATTCAGTTTTCTTATCAAAATTCAACTCTAGGTTCTGCACAGAAGCCTTCCCCGACTTCGTTTTTGTGGTCCCTGGGTACCCTCCCCTCTGCTATTTTATACCTGTGGGGTGTCCTTTGTTGTGCTTGTCACACTGTGCTGCTTGCTGCCCTGTGCACTCCACAGAGTGCAGCAAGGGGCCTGGCACATGGGAGGCATTTGGCTTAGGTTGGATTCCCTCCAAGCTAACCCAGAGACAGGGATTCTTGTGCAAGTTATTTACTGGGGAAATGTTCCTGGGAGAGGGGAGTGATGGTAGTACAGCTGACAAGTTGAAGGATATAGTCTCAGCTGGAGACAGGCCCAGCCTGGCCCCCTGGGGAGCTCTGTTGCAGGAATGGCACCATGGAGTTGGTCCCCCATGAGACCTGAGTGGAGCTGGGATAGGATGGGCAAGTGAGGTGCCTATGGCACAAAATGTAAGGAAGTTTGTATTTGGGAGGAACCAGAGACAGGTAAGCTAGAGGCCAGTTGAGTGGCTGCACTTGTCCAGGGACAAGTTGGAGAGCTGAGAGCAGGATTAATGAGGGCCAAAGTGGATGGAGATGTGGGGACAGCAGGGTGGACAGCGGCAACAGTCAATCAGAGAAGGCCTCTGCCATCAGAGAAGGCCTCCTTCTTGGACCCCTTCTCTCTTGGCATAGGAACATGTGGCTCCTATGAATTGAGCCAGAGGATTTGGTGGGGGAAATGGACTATATTTATTTGAAAGATACTGAGGTCTACCATCCACTGGTGTGCCATTGTCCTTGGATAGACAGTGTACTGACCTGCAACATTTCCGTCAGGGATCTGCAAGGTAGATGTCAGTCACGTATTCAACATTCATTGGGCACTGCATTAGGTGTGCTACGGTGGTGCATAAAGCACACAGAGATGTTGGGGGAGACAGACAAGCAGCACACTCATGGAACATGATGCAACAGAGCCAGGTGTGAGTGCAGTGATAAGGGAAGGTGATCAGACGGCAGAGGTAGAGAGGCTTAGAAGTAGAAAGCACACAGCTCTGGGTCTTGTGGGCACAGAGGAGCTTCTGGGGAGGCTGTAGCCATGGAGGGAATGCATGAGCAAAGGCACAGATGTGTGTGAGTGTGCAGGTCTGGAGTGGGGAGTGAAGTGCCTTCAGGGTGCATGCAGGGGGTGGGCACAGAGCACATTCTGGGTGCCAGAGAACACATCTTTAGGTCACCGTATAGGGCAGACAATTCCACATTGATTCAGTCTGACAGCCAGTTTGCATGTATCTATAAAAACGCCCCCTCCTTATCTTGGGATGTGGATGTGTGATGCACTTGACCCCCAGGTGGAGAAAAGAGTTGTGGAGGAAAGCTCCTCTGTGCAGCAGAACAGAAGCTACCTGCTCAGGAAGAGGCTGCGTGGGACAAGCAGCGAGAGCCCAGCGGCACAGGCCCCGGAGTGTCTGCATCCTTGCAGAGGTGGGTACGTGCCCTAAGCAGTCCCTGCGTGGGCTGATGGTACCCATTCTATTTTTTCCTGCCCTGTATGGGCTACACATCCACATTGTGATGGCAGAGAAAGCCTATGTAAGTGCCACTCTTTCAGGAAGCCCCTGAAGAGAAGGGGCTGAGCTTAGGACTCACCTGTGTTCCCAGGAAAGTCTTATTTGGGGACACAACACAGTTATTTATATCAAATGAAAACTTTAAAAATGAGTTCTAACTGTCCAAGTTGAGAAAATCCAAATTGAAACAAACAACAAGAAAAGAAAAACTTGATTTTTTTTTCAGTTATTGTTCTGGGTGTGTTAAAAGAGTGGTTTTTGGAATAATCTTCAAATCTACTGTTCTCTACTTTTCAACTAAATCTGAGCTTTTTTTAAAAAAATTAATGTTATTGTTTGTTGTCTCTAAAACAAAGTGCACTTTGCCATTAGGCTTTATCTTCCCTTGTAACCCTCCCTCCAACCCTCTGTAACTGTCATTTCTGTTTTCTACATGAGGAAACAGATTCAGAGAGGCTAAGGAATTTCACCAAGGTCACACAGCTAGTAAGTCATGATGCCATTCATGCTCTGAGATGCCTGATTTAAGAAAGCCGTGATCTTGGCTTCTGCCCATACCCTCTACCATGCTGCTTGATTAGTTTCAGAAAGAAGCACGGAGACCCAGAGCTCACCAGAGCCCCATTGGAGCACCTTGACACACAGTCACTGCAGCCTCCTTGTTAACCGGTAAGCAGCAAGGCCTAAAGGGTGCTGTGAACTTGATGTGAGACATAGGTGTGGGGGCTATGGTACCTTATTTCTTTACTGATTATTAGTAAGAAGCCTCTTGCTCCTCCAGAAAATGCCAATGCTATTCCATTAACAGATGAAGAAGCCACATTTAAGCAGATCCGAAGCCAAGATAATGAGGGGCCTGGTGGCAGCTGTGCTGTCAGGGCATCCTGTTTCCTCTGGGAACCATACTCAGGCCGAGTGGCGGAGCAACAACATGCCTCAATATTGTTGCCATTATCCATTGCCATACCATGCTGCATAACAAGCAACCACAAAACACAGTGGCTAAAAGCAACAATTATGAATTTAGCTCATGATTCTGTGAGTTGGTCATTTAGGCTGTGCTCAGCTGGGAGGTCTTCTAGACTCTGCTGAAAGCCTTCCTGCCTTTTTGACTGTCTTCGGCTCGGCTATCCAGCTTCTCCTGCGGGGTGAATGGCCATTGTCTGGGAAGCTCTGGCTCTCCTCCACCAGCAGGTCAGCCTAGGATTGTTCTCGTGACAATGGCAGAACTGACAGAGAGGAACTGAGAGAGAGAGAGAGAGACAGAGAGACAGAGAGAAAGAGGAGAGAGAGGAGAGAGGACGGCAAGGTGCATAAAGCCTTCAGAACTGGTCTTCCATCATTTCCACTTCATTCTGTTGGCCATATCAGGCCTAAAGGCCAGCCCCATTTCAAGGAGTAAGAAATAGACTCCATCTCTTGATGGCAGGAGGCTGCAAAGTCGGATTGCAAAGGGTGCAGATCAGGGAGAAGAACTGTGGACATTTTTGCAATTGTCTAACTTAGGATGCTTGAATCAGATCAAAACCTAGATGGGCTCATATCTTCCTGGACCTGGAACGGTGTTTATTTTGAAGTTTGGGTGATTTATTTATTCACATGGTGACCTGTTGAGGGCTGTAACAGTGTCTTGTCATAGTTGATGTCAAATCCACAGCTGACGCCCTGATTGGATATCGTAGAGTTTATCTTGCAATACTTTTTCCTGCCATTTAAAACTTTATTTTCCCAATGAAAACAATTTTTACCCCCTGATTCCTTAAACAATATATTTTATTGTCAAAATATTTTGAACAACATATCAAATTCTAAAGAAGCCAGAACTGCTGCAGTCCCATGACCTGCTGGGTGGTTGCTCTAGACCTGGGGTCCTGGCACCACAAACAGAGAGGTAAAGCCATGGGGTGGAGAAGTCGACTGTGCCTTGTACCTCCAACCCCACCCCACCCCAGTGGCTGTGCAGCCTGGCTTCTCCAGGCCTCAGCTTCCCCCACTTGAAAAATGGATATAACTCCCCCATAGGTGGGGGAGAAGGTGACATGCATCAGTGGGTGCACCCTGCCCAACTGAGCCCCTGTGCGGGTGGTCTTTCATGCCATGGAAGCCCTTGCCATTGCTAAGTGCTTCACCCCTTCTCAACCCCTGGCCAGCGCTCTTCCAGGAGCAGATCCCCAGGACCAGCAGGCGGGCCGGAGGCTCAGCTCTGGATCTGTGCACTCGGCAGCAGACAGCTCATGGCCAACAACTCCTTCTCAGAGGGGTTTTCTGCAAAGAAGGAGCAAGGTAAGCAAAATAAGGCTGAAGGACACTCCTCAAGGAGGCTTGAGCAGGGAGCTGTGGGTGGCTGGCACGGTGGCTGAAAATGGGCAGGGTCTTCTAGGGGACAACTTCCCTGGGCTGAGGTTTATAGGATTGGACTAACATAAACCTGAAATTTGCAACTTAGGGCATAGGCATTCACTGAGTAGCCTCACTGGGGAAGGCTCTATGGGGGACGCTGTATAAGATGTAGGGTTAAAGATGCTGGGTCCCACCCTAGAGGAAGCCACCGGTGCGCAGGGTGGTGGCAGAGCGTGCTACATGATTCGAGAACTGACAAGGCAGAATGTGTTTGGAAGGGGCCTTCTGCACAGGTGAAAGGTGGGAGCATAGATCCAGGGCCGCAGGGAGGGCTTCTATAGGGAGGAGAGAGTTATCCTTCCAGCTGGCTAACCCTAAGAGGGTAATAGGGTTAGGCGGAATGTGCCTGTCTGTCTGTCAAAGTTAGTTAAGGTCCCTTGACTGAGCTGAGCTCCAAATAGCCTCAGGATGTCCCTCTTCCTGTTTGGCCTATGGTTCCCATACGCTGGCCTGGCCCGCACTGTCCTCCTTGGCCCTTCTCTGGCCTCCATGAACTTGGTGGAGGGCGTGAAGAGGGCTTCTGAGAGGCTTTGTCCACCTCCTTTGGCTTTTCTTCCTGATCACTCACTAGAGATACTTCTATTGGGAACTCTTGCAGGACACAAGTCACTTCTGGGCTGGAATTTTGGCCTCTTGGGACAAGAGTCCTGCTAGGTACCCTTGGGGGCACTATAGAAGCCCTACCCAACCCTATCTCTTGCTGGTTATATGACTCAGGTGAGCTTCTTAAGCTTTTTTTTTTTTTTTTAAAGGTGAGGAGCCTCAACTTCCTCACCTGTAAAATGGGTTGAGAATATGCACCCCACAGGGGGATAGCTGGGTCTAGCTAGTGATGGGTATTGCAGTGTTTTCTGGGTCAAGTGTAATACAAACACACTGAGAACAAGAGGTGCCCACTAAGCTATTGATTCAACATCTAGAGCTAGAAAACATTTCAGCTCATCTAAATCTAAAAGTATTTTTGTTTTTTCAAGTATTTTTATTGCATTTATATTTATATTATACATTTTATACTTTTGATACATACAAAAGATGGAGTTCTGTGTAAATTATGAAACTTATAATTCACCCCGAACACCCCTGTACCCAACTTAAGAGCCAGAATGTTGCTGATACCCTATACCCACCTGTAAGACTTCTGCTCCAAGATGTACCATTCAGCTGGGGCCTCAGCCCAGGTCAGCCCCATCTTGGCCTGTTTTCTGCTGGCTCTGGGGAATGTATGCTGGTGGGGGCTGCAGAGGTGCATCATGGGGGAAGCCCAGACCCAAAGCCTGGAATCTGTTGTCTTCTCTACCATATGTGACTGTTTTCCTCCAGTTTTCCAGGCCAGAGTTCATCCTGTTGGCTGGAGAGGCCCCGATGACACTACATCTGCCGGGATCGGTTGTGGTAACTACTGGGCTAGACTGGGCAGGGATGGAGGGTGGCGAGGGAAGTGGGCAGTTGCGGGAGGCCAATTGTGTCTGAATGGGGTCTCACATGGGAACACCCCAGTGGCATTCAGTTTCCCCCAGACCTCTGCCAGAACCATCACTGCCTCCCACTGCTGCTGTTTTCCCTTCAGCCTGTTAAAGGGGCCCCACGTGACTTCCAGCTGAGTCCTGCTGGCCCTCCCAGCCTCAGCTAGGGAATGCTGTGAAACATCTACCAGGTGCCAGGCACTATTCTAGGCCCCCATCTATGCTGCGAATGAAACAAAGTCCTTTTCATGTGGAGATTACATTCTAGAAGGAGGCGGCAAAGACAGACAAAGACATAAATATAAAAGAATGCCAGGTAGTGATTTGTGCAAAAAAAAAAAACAAAAAACAAAAACAAAAAAACAACGAAGAAGGGAGGAGGATGGAGCATGGCAGGTGGTAGGAGGGAGAGTGTGCTCTTTTAGATAGGAAAGTGGCTCTGGGGAGGCATCTTGTGAACAAAGACTGGGTGAAGACAAGGAGTGAGCCTTGTGGGCTTTTCAGGAAGGGCAAATGCTGTGTGGGCTGTCCCTTCCCTGCCCCAGAGCCTGAGCACGTCCCCTGCAGAGCCCCATGTGTGGCTGGTCTCACCCTGAGCTCCCCAGAACATATCTGTCCATGTTCAGGCCCATATCTCTGTTGTCCAGGGCCCAGTTGGGGCCGAGAGCTTCTCAGTCAATGTTGAGTATTTGGATGTGAGCCTTTCCCATCTCCCCAACCCCCAGGGCTGGAAGCGCACACATTGTCAACTTGGCTTTCTGGGCCTCTGCTCAGGGCCTCTTGGAGGCAGGGCTTGAGTGGGGCATGGCTAGAGGCTCTCCCCTCCCAGGCTCCTGCATCGCCCTCCACTTGTCCTTCCTGCCCTGAAGAGCACCAATGAGCCCACCTCTGGCTCACTCCAGCAAAATCCCATTGAATCCCAGCTTCCATGCACCCCCCTGTCAAGGGGATGTCTGTTGCAGTGCACTGACATCATTTCCTCTACACCTGAGTCCTGAAAGTGTTGAAGCAAACTGGTCAGTGCACGTGGGATGCCTGCCTGACAGGGGCCTCCAATTCCTATGCAATGACCAGCTGCATCAATTTATGCAGCACACGCTGACGGGCACCCACTGTGTGCCTGGTCCACCTGCATGGGCACAAAAAATATGAAGTGGGATGATAACTTTTACACCCCAGGTATGCAAGATTGAGTTACCCAAAGCATGAAAATACTAAAGCTAAGGAGGCTGGTGTGTGAGGGGCTGGGGTGTCAGGGTGGCTCACTCTGGGGGTCTACAACCTTCTGAGGACACTTCCTGTATGGGGCTTGCAAGTCAGAGGGCCATGGCCTCCTCAGCCCAGTCCCACCTCTGCCCATCCCCTTCAAGCCACCTGCCCTCAGCTGAGGGGAAGAAGGGACAATTCACCCAGGGACCCCTTCCTGACATCCCTGTGGTCACATGGCTTAGGTGACTGGAGACTCCTCTACCCACCGGGTAGATGGGCCAGACCTGCTGTGATGGGGGCCAGCTTCCCCCGCTCTGCAGGGATGCTTGTGCAGTGCTTAGGTACCAAGACTCCAGGCGATGGGAACAGTGCTATTGTCCCAGTTCTGTCTGGGGCGAGCATCTTGACCTACACACCAGGTCTAGGACCCTAGTTATAATCCTCAGAGGGGACCTTGGACCCTTGCCTCTAGGAAGATGCAAGAAGGGTATGAGGGTGACTGAGGGCTCCCTCAGTAAAATACTTTTTAGACCTCTGTCCCTTACCTGGGAAACAGGAGGCCCCATTCCCAGGGTTTCCTGTGTCACTCTGTTTGTCTGGCTTGGGCTGGAGCATTTGCCCCTGTTGCTTTAGCCCCTCCTTTCCTGTCCCCAGGGTTCTCAGTCAGTGTAGCTCCCTATCTCTCCCTCCAAGTGGAGTTCTTGGTACACACACCCTTTCCTTCTGCTTCCCTGTGGGTGTTGGGAACAAAACAGATTCCCCTTACAGCATGGCTGTCCCGTGGGAAACACTGGCAACTAGGCTCACTGAAACATGAAGAGGCAGCACCCTGTGTTCAAAAGCAGCCACCACAGGAACTAAAATATAAAACATTTTCTTTTTTCTCTATATGTGCTTTCTCTGTCTCATCATGTCATGGTATTTTTATTTTTTATTTGCTGTTTAATGTCACATTCTCTTGGGCATAGGGATATTCACAAGGTGAACAGAGACCCTTGCAGGTACCTGGGACCCTGCTCTGTGACTTTGCCACACCAGTTGCTGGATCCATGCACCATGCCCCACGCAGGGTGAAAAAGCCCAAGCTCCCTTCCCATGACTCTGCTGTCCCAGCCCAGACAATCAGTGGTCCCCCAAGGGGTTACACCCTTTGCATGGAGATGCGTTTGGTACCTGGCTTGGGAGCTGGGTGGGTGAGATGCTTGTCCCTGCTGAATTGCCCAGGGAAAGAGCTTTGGTGCTCCTGGCCCAGGGTGGGGACAGCCACTGTCATGGTTGCTCTGACATGCCTTGGGTGCGTGTGCCTGCATGGGACCTTTCCTCCACCAGCCCCTGAGGAAGGCATCACTAGGGGGCAGTGAGAGCCATGGCTGCCCTCAGTGGAGGGCAGCAGAGGTCACTGTGTGGGGAGGATGAAGGGGCAGGGGAGGCTGGGCAAGGCATGGGGATTCAGAGAGCAGAGGAGTTGGCAGCCAGAACCCTCCAAGGAGGAGGGGAGGCAGGACTGCTGAAAGTCAAAGCTTTGTATACTCGCTCATTGTCCTGGGGACTTCACTCAGAAAACACACATTCCAAACACAACTATTAAGAGTGTCCAGAGGGCAGCTTCAGAGCACTGGACCCAAGCAGGGGCCCATTATGGGCATACGATTCATCACTGAGGGCCTGGGCAGCCCTCTCAGGAAGCAGCTGGGATTTCTGCAAGGGAAAGAAGCGGGTCAGACCTGCCTCCCAGCCTTCCTGGCTCTCGCAAAATCACCTTGGGAAGCTTTACTAGATATTGATTTCCTAGGCCTTGTGCCAGACTGACAGAACCATCTTGGGAGTGGTCTCCTCACCTCTCAGGTGACTCAGGTGTGCAGCAAGTGTAGGAACCAAGGTGGCATGGAGTATGCCTGTGTGATCAGCCCTGCCCAGCGGCATGTGTGAAACCCCCTCCCACAGGGTCCTCAGATCTGCTCTGGCCCCTGGAGTGCATAGGCTGCCCCTGGGTGCCAGGAGTGTCAGGGTATGACCACAGGCATGGTCTCGATGGCACTAAGGCCACATATGCTAGTGTCTGTCCATGACTGCCTTCTAGAGAGAACTTCCTGGGGGAGGTCCAGGCTGGGCTTTGGGACATGGGGATACTCAGGAAGAGCCACAGACAAGGGCTCCAGAGCCTGACCTGACAGATCCATAAGAGTTTGCCACATGGGGAGGGAGTGGAAGAGCCCTAGGGGCAGTGGGTATCATATGTGCAAAGACACAGACAGAATGGCCCAGGTGGCTGCCTGGTGATGAACTATCCAGGAGGCTGAACCAAGGCAACAGTGGTCTGGGTGGGGCTGTGGTGGGAGATGAAGAGGCAGAAGGCAGACTCTGGAGGCTCTTTGGCTCTGCCGACCCATTTCTAGAGTCTAGGTAATCCCCTTGCTCCAGCTCTGTCTCTTCATTGGATCTGCACCCACCCAAATTCTCTCTGAAGTTTAGAATTAATTAACCTGTGCTCTGCTGGGACCTGGGGAGACAATGTCAGATCGACAGATTGATCCAGGGCCATATGATTCATTGATGAGGGCCCTGGGTGACCCTCTTAGGAAGCAGAGCCCAAGGGAGAGCTGGAATTTCCGCATGGGAAAGACGTCAGTCAGACAGGCCTCCCAGCTTTCCTGGCCCCTGCTGAGCCTGGCAGAAGGCTCAGATTTGAGTCCAGTTCCTGCCTTACAAACTGTGCAAACCCTAGGCAAGACTCTTACCATTTCTGAGCCTTAGTTTCTCATCTGCTGCATAGGAATTGTAAATATACTTATCTTTTAGAGTTGTCAATTAAATGAGACAATGTGTGTAAAGTGCTTAGTACAGTAACCAGCACACACTAAAGGCTCAATGACTTATAATTGTAGTATAATTGATACTGTTGTTGTTTTCAGACCAAAAAAGGGAAATCCTATTTGGCTCTCAGGGACCTCTGTGTGGTCCTGCTGAACGGGCAGCACCTGGAGGTAAAATGTGATGTTGAATCAACAGTGGGAGCTGTCTTCAATGCCGTGACATCCTTTGCCAACCTCGAGGAACTCACCTACTTTGGCTTGGCGTATATGAAAAGTAAGCATCTCTTGGGCAGCTCACAGCTGGCCTGGTGCCTCTGGTAACCCAGGTATCTGGGTACCTGAGCTCTGTTTCTTCTGGGAAAACTGTTTGAGACTTGGGTGCCTCCCTTTGTATGCCTAGACATTAGTCAGCATGACGAGGGCTTCAAGTACTCATGGATAAAGCATCAAGCAAGTGCAGAAGGTTGTCAGGAAATAATGAGTGTAAGATGTGGGTTTCTGTGGCTTGCTGGATCTGGTTGATTGATCTCAGGGCACTGAAGTTAGACAAACAAGCAAATGTTAAAAGCATTTCCATCTAATGATGCAGGACTAATGGGGACTTAGTACCCTGACCCTAGGAGCTAATTAAGACTCCATTCTAAATATCCAAGAAAAAGGGTTTCTATACCCTCTTCCCTCTCTGACGTTCTATTAGAGACTCTTTATTTCTGCTGTCGACCTAAAATGACAGTGGAGAGAGACAGGCTCTCCAAAAAATGAGTGTATTTGGGAATTAGCAGGAGATTGCAATCTAGGATCCACATGCCATAGTGAACTATAGATGCATCTAAGGAGGTTGGGCAAGGGCAAGCCTTTATAGACAAAGAGAGAAGTACATGTGAGTTGTTTTGAAACAAAAAGGTGATTGGTTCCAAGGGCTTATTTCAGGAGTTGACACCAGTTCATTAGTGAAAACAGTGTCAGGCAAGTGTTCTTGTGTGAGTGGCGAGCTGCCCTTGTGTGGCGAGCTGTCCTTGTGCTGCTGGCTGTCCTTGTGTGACTCATGTAGCAAGCTGTGGTTTGGAAAAAAGTTTCTATGGTATTTTTCATTATAGGCATAGAGCATGAGTGACCCTCCCTTATGGCCTCCCAGCTCCATTTTAGTAGGGTTAAATATAAGTGACTTATTTTGGTATTGATAATGTTTACATTTCTCCCTTTTGATCAAGTTATTGCTCTGAAAGCATCACTGCTGGATCATCCTGTGGTTAGGTTTTGATTGTTCCTCGGTACTGGGATGGACCTTTCCTGGTTGTTCTACTCTCACGTTGAAGGGAAATGACCAGCAAGTAGGAGTTGATGTAAAAACATCTTTCAGCTTCATTTAAGCAACATGGAGGTTTGGAAAGAGTGGCTCTGAGGCTAAGTCTGTCTGGAGTTCATTGTTCTGTTTCATAGGTGTTGGTTGTCATTTCGAAGCACTAGACCAGCGTTGGGCATTTTGGTGAACTCTCTATGTAGCCTGCACATCAGGCAGGAGACTTGTTCCTAGAATTTTACATTGAGTTGTTGTTCAGCTTCAGTTTATAGGGCTTTAGGAACAGAGAAGTTCTTGTTCTTTGTTCTTCAGATACTGAAGGAAGCAAGAAGAATTCAGGGTCCAATTCAGTCTACAGGTAGATTAGAAACACACAAAAGCAATGAACAGGGCTACAGTCAGATAACAGGTGTAATACAATTTTCACCTTCCTTTAGAAGCATAATTTCTTTTCTACAGTTACCCCCATTTTTACTAAAGATAATCACAATAAGACAAATTTGTTTACTAAGTAAGTTTAGCCTCATCAAGTTTGGCCTTGATGCATAAGTGCATCAAGAATAGTGGTTGACCACGTAGGCTCCTTTGAAGCTTGTTCTGCTAGAACTTTTGATAAGAATCTCAGCCTGACTTTTAAAAGTCTCTCAAGGCTAGGAGGCCAAATCAAGACAAACCTCAGTTTGGCTGAAGTAACTTTATGTGCATTTTCAAATATGACATCCAAGTCAAAGCCTTAGTAATATAACCAATTTTAAGTATTGTATCCTGTTATAAAGAGAGCATATTTTATTGAACTTATATAAATAACTATATTATCATAAAAATAAGAATGCTTATGGATAGTTTTAGAATTCTGGTTGGATCAGGAAAGGAGAAAAAGCAAATATTTTAATTTTGTTCACAAGAGTATACTTTATTATATTGTTGTAAACTATAGATAACATACAAGGAAAAAGTTTCCTTAAATCTAGAAAACAAAACATTTAAAGAACCAGTGAAATTTCAAGTAAAAATTATAAAAACCCATTATTCTTTTTCATCCGTTCGTTCAGCCTCATGTAATTAATTCTTGTTCTGCTTGATCTTTGTTAGCAGTTTCACAAACTCTGTTTCTTCTTTAGTGTCCTGGACATTTTTCCTTAGTCCAATGGTTTGATCTTGAAGTTATCAGAAACCTGTAACTTGTCAGAATTCTTTCCATCCTTTCTGTGAACCTCCTTGAAGAAAAAGCAATTTTTGGACTGTAGCTGATTGCAAATGCGTTTAGAAAAGTACCAACACCATAACATTCCATGGATGATAAGGACTTAGAATGGCCATGGTTAAAAATCTGAAGAGAGTTTATTATAACCAGCAATTTACAGATAAATTTCATTGTTTCTATGGCATATATCATTTTAACATAATAACCAAATATTATACTAAGACATATCGGAATTCTAGCAATTTTGTACAATTTTAGGAACATTTATATCAAAACTATATTTATAAATATAACTTAAAGATTTGGCACCACTTATTATTGGATAATGTTTCCCATGCATTTTAACATATTGAATAAACCCAATTAGTTTAACACCTCTTTTACAAGGTGAGGGACATATCCTTTGTTGCTTCCAAGGGCCCAGCTGGAAAGACCCAAAGTAAATTCAAGGTCAAAAAGACTCAATTTAGAATTTGATTTTGGGAAGCTGTCAAAACTGTCAAAAGGTTTAAAACCCTTGATCAAAGTAGAATCACTGGTCACTGTAAAATAATTGTCATTCATTTAACCAGAGTGATAATTAAAATTCTTCAAAAGGCAAATACATAATGGTCAAAACTTAGCTCTTTGAATATTGAGAAGATCACTTTTTTAAGTAATAAAAGAGCTAATAAAATACAGCACAGAGCACAAGAAACTATTCTGATAAAACACAAAATTTTTGTTTTCTAGGCCAATTACTAAAAAGTTAAGGAAAAACATATTAATATTAACAGTAGAGGCTAATACTGCAATATAACTGTATTTTATTAACAGAGAAGACAAAATAATAGTTTTGCACAAGTATGCTATTGATATTAAGGCTCAATTTTAGAAAAACATAAATAAATACTTTTCTTCTAATTTTAATTATCTTGATCACACAAAAATTTCTTTCATAATATTCATCTTCCATAAACCTTTTGCAATTTTCTCAAACCATTTATAATGTTCTTATTCAGTTTTATTGATATCACTTTTTTCTTTATTTATTTGTTTTGAAGCAATCCTCAACTAGCCTCCAACTAGAGAAAATTACTTTTTTAAACGACAACAAATAAAAACACATTCTCATATCTTCCTTTTAACTTTTCTCACCCAAACATATCTTACATTTTTGTACACTTTGTGTACAGAATTACATTTAGTAATTGGAATTTTAAAACTCTTGGTAACTTTAATTTCTAGTGAAAACCAGAAAACTAGAAAGTAAGCAATCATAAACTGCCTTTTACAAATTTGTGAAAACATTATTTTATAACACCTAGAAATATATGCTTCCTCATAGCACATTTTTTCAGTGTAGAATAGAGCATTTTAATTAACAGACCCAAATATCTTTTGTTCCTCTACAATGAGGAGACAAAAGTATATAAGCTTAAACTTATGTTCAACAACTAATATTTCAGCATAATATCTTATTTGGAAGTGGTCTATTAAATGAATATTCATCATTTCATTTAACTTACTATAACTGTAATGTTTTAAGTAACCAAAAAGATTTTATAAACCATTTTAAGTAGATATATCTTATAAAACATAATCATTGTTGAAAAGCTTACTTATACTCTATTTCATTTATATTTACATTTATTAATTCACTTGGTTTTAACAATTATGTTTGAATTGTTTATAAAAACTCCATAAGACATGAAACAAATGTAGTCATTATCTTACGTTATTTTTATTGTTAGTAAATCAGGCAAGTATTAAAAAATACCACAGAAGCAAAGAACCTAAAAGTTAAAACATATGGCTTTTTTTAACTCTCTTTTTTCATTGTCACATTTGTCTCACATCAAGCAATTTATTTTTACTGTATGTTTTATTCTTAGGTTACATTTACAATTTTACCATCTTAAACATACATACGCTTTTGCTTGATAAATCCAGATAGAAGAAGTCGTATGTCTGTATTATGTTTAATGTTGACAAGTCTCCAAACATGACTATTTTAATTGAACCAAAAAACTTAAACTAGCTTCTATATTTACCAAAAATTATACCAGATCACCTGAACTCAAAAAACATTTAGGTTAGTTCTGTTTTTCTGAGAAAACAGTTAATTTATAAAAGTGTTTATTTTCTTCCTTCAAGCCAAATCTTCTCGCATGTACCAATAGGACAGTTGTTCATGATGAGGGCTCTCTAAAAATACTTTTAGATACAAAAGTCCAAATATCCAAAGGTATAACCACTTCAATTGTGACTCAAAGCCAATAAGCCTTTTATGTCTTAACCATGGATACGAGAGGCTTCCACAAAAAGAGCGTGAAAAATGCAGTACCCCCCTCGAGATCCAACATCTCTCCCAAAGACGAAAAACAAAGACCTTACTTGTTAACAAGGTAGTGGAGGTTGAAACAATTGAGACAAATTCCCCTGGGAGCTGGCACTCTGGGACAAGGAGATGCTTCATGTTTCAGACTCCTAGCCAGCTGGCTCGCCATCTGATGCAAACCTGACAGTCTCCACCACCCAGCTGGTGGAGACCAGAGAAGATATCCTCACTGGCTACAGAGCTCTTGAGACATAAAACAAGATGAAAGGAGAGTCTTATTGTAACTTTTATCCTTGTGGTAAATCACACAGAAGACAGAGATTAAAAAACAAAAAAAAAGAGCGATTTCTGTTAGAACCTAGAACCAAATTCACAAGAGTCACAATTCAGAGAACAACCTTACAAATGTTTTTCTCCTGCCAATTCAAATTTAGAAAAGAAGGGACAAGAAAAAATTTTTACCTTCTTCTCTTAGCTAGGCACTATCCATAGATATTTGGGAAAGCTGGCTTTGGAAAGAATCCCCCCACCTTTTGCAGGCTTTTGTCAGGCCTCTCAGCATCTCATCCATAGGCTGGAGTGAGTGGGGTGTCCAGCCTCTTAGGGTCCCATCCTCATTGCCAGAAACTGTAAGGAAGGAAAACTTCTACTTCCATCCTTTATCCTCACAGGCTCCAGCTGTGTCTGAGAAATAAACTAACATAAGAAAGATCAACAGGAGAAAAGCATAATAAATGTTTTATGTGGCATGGGAGCCCCCATAAGAAGATGAAGACTCCACCAAATTAGTTACTGGGTTGGACAAAAAACAGTTAATTGTGAAAATGGGACTAAATTATGAGGAGGCTTAAAAGATCAGAGTTATTCCAACAAGGTCTGTATGGTATTCTGTGTCTAAACTTCTTGTCCTTGAAGATAAGGATGTTGCCTTTCCTTCCAGGAGAGGGAGGATGACTATCACATGGGAATTTCATCTTCTTTAAGAAATAACACAAGGGTCAAAGTGGCCAATTTGCACCTGCTCTTAAAAGTGCGCTTAAAAGTGCCTTTAACTTAAATAGCTGATAGGCCCAAATGGCATATTTTAACTTCTTTATTCCACCCATCTAGAACTTCCCTAGAAGATTCACATATTAAAAAATGACTTGGTGGTCATGGAGAGAAGAATTAGATTAGTAGCTGAGCAGTTTGGAAAAAAGAGGAGTTCGGCTAGAGGAAGACAAAGAGGAGGAGGAATTGTAGATAGGGGAGGGAAGGTTCTGGAGACAAATGAGTCTCAGCTAGCTTTGAGATATTTGCATTAAGGCATTTTTGAGTCCTGAATGC
Organism: Homo sapiens; assembly: GCF_000001405.40. Taxonomy (NCBI): domain Eukaryota; kingdom Metazoa; phylum Chordata; class Mammalia; order Primates; family Hominidae; genus Homo; species Homo sapiens. The sequence goes on along the minus strand of NC_000010.11, from coordinate 48,226,238 downwards.
GTTTTGAAGCCTCAAGATGCCAATTGAAATATGTGCCCCATTCAAACTGACCTTATAGCTGCAGTCTTCTAATTTTAATTCTAAGGAAAAAACAAGCTTGGGCAGTTCAAATGGTCTCCATCTGGCCATTGGAGCTCTAAATTATCTTTGGTATAATTTGTCCATAAGCTTAAAAATTCATGGGGTGAATTATGTTTGGAAAGTCTATGTGATGCCAATTTAAATTCTGTACACAAACAACCAACCCCAAAAGAGTACACATCAGAAAGGATGCCAAATCCCCTACAAAAGTGAAACCAAAAGAATACTCAGAAGAAGGACCATGTCCTTCAGACCTATAAAACCAGATCTCGAATCAAGTCAAAGCAAGCCAAAATGAGGGTGCTCAAATCCAAGACAGAACTTAGCACCAGCAGAAAGATGATTCCTGGAAGCAGAGAGCACAATGGGCTCCAGTGGGCACTGCACGTGTTCTGCGGTCGCTGGTATGGGAAAAGGCTTGTCATTTTTGGATCCCACATCTCTAACACCAGGTTTTGCCAACCTAAAATAACAACAAAGAGAGACAGGCTTTCCAAAGAAAGAGTTTATTCTGGAATTAGCAGGAGATTGCAATCCGGGATATGCATGTTCTAGAGGACTACAGGTGCATCCCAGGAGGCTGGGGGAAGGGGAAGCTTTTAAAGACAAAAGAGAGAAGTACATGTGAGTTGTTTTGAGACAAAAAGATGATTTTTTTCTAGGGGCTTATTGCAGGAGTTGACATCAGTTCATCAGTGGAGACAGAGTGTCAGGCAAGTGTTCTTGTGTGAGTGGCTAGCTGTCCTTGTGCGGCTGGCTGTCCTTGTGCTGCTGGCTATCCTTGTGTGACTCATGTAGCAAGCTGTAGAATGGAAAACATTTCCTGTGGTATTTTTCGGTATAGGCATATGCATGAGTGCCCCTCCCTCATGGCCTTTTGGCTGCACTTTATCAGGGTTAGACATAAATGACCTCATTTTGGTATTGATAACTTTCACACCATTACTATAAATACCATGCTGCCACAGCTGGATTTCTTTAACCACTGTGTGGAGGCTGAGCTGGGATCACACTGGCCTTCTGGCGAAATCCTCTCCCTCCCAGCCCATCTGGCTTAGGCGTCATATCTCAGTGTTCCTCTATTTTCCCATTTCCAGTAGGAAAAGCTCACGAACTTGTATGATTATTCTTTGTACCAAGCAGGGCTGGTGAGAGCATGTTCTTATCCCCATAGTTCTCATCAGACCTTCTAAAGATCTCTCTCACAAATAAGAACAACTGTTATATGCTTTGATGTGATCAATTGATATTTGCTCGACCTTTCATAACCTGTGAATACAGGTGTCTTTAGGAATTGTGTTGTTATTGATCCATAAAATGCAATCTAATCCAGTGTGCTTGCATTGTGAGTGCACCTGCACTCACAAATCCACTTATCTCCTACCTGCCTTCTCCCAATCAGGTGGCCATCCTGAGCCCCTCCCACATGGACAATTTTACACCTGCCTAGCTAGGGTCATCTTGGGGAAATCACTCAAAGGTGACTACCTCTAGGGTTTGGATATAGACCAACTTGGGAGGGATTACCAACCAACCTTTGGTGGGGAACTGCCTATCTCTTGGGGAGAATTCATCCTAAGGGAAGGGTGAGTCCCGTGTGGGGCATCAGATTCAGCAGTAAGGGCAGAGGCAGGTGGCAGAGGGGATGGAGGTCTGAGTGTGGTGTGGTGACAGCTGTTTAAATCCTGGACACCCCCTCCCCACCCCAGCATGCATAGGCATTGGAAGAAGAGGTTGGTCACCAGTTTAAAAGTTCTGCCTTCCAAAACTGGGCAGGACTCCTGTGCCCAGGCAAGCTGCTAGAGAATGCTTTGGGCTGAAAGGGTGGAGCACTGAGAAGGAGGAGCCACTTTGAGTGTGTGGTAGAACAGGGCAGGGGCAGACCTGCAGCAGTCCCCAGGAGTGGCCCAGGGCACTGGAGGGGTTGAGCTTTGCTGTGAAGAGAGCAGAGGGGTGGGGGAGGGGCCTTCAGTGGCTGGGGCTGATTCAGTCTCCCTCCCAGGGGTACTGGAGGACACACTTGCCAGGATTTGAAGTCCTGAGCTTGGGTTGGTGGAATTTTCAATCTGGAACCACTTGGGTCAAAGGGCAAATTGACTCCACTTACACCATGCCTTAGGCAGCTCAGGCTGCTCTAACAAAATACCACAGAGGGGATGGCTCAAAAATAGACCCTTCTTTCTCACAGCTCTGGAGGTTGGAAAGTCCAATAACAGGGTTCCAGCTGATTTCCATTCCTGGTGGGGTCCTCTTTCTGGCTTTCAGAGGTTTCCTTTTCGCAGTGTCCTCACATGGCTGAGAGAGGAAGCTCTGGTGTCTTCCTCCTGTTATAAGGATGCTGATCCCATCATGGGGGACCCATACTCATGATCTCATCTAAACATAGTTACCTCCTAAACACCCCACTTCCTAATGCCATCAGATTGGGTGTTAGGGTTTCAACATATGGATTTGGGAGGACACACATATTTGGACTGTAGGAGTCCATGGCTGGGGAGGAGGGGGTTGGTACAGCTGAGGTGGAGGGTTCTGGCACATTGCACAAACTTAGTCAAACTCCTTTCCTTGGTTTTCCATTTTATACCCATGAGATGATAGCTGAAGGCAGATATTAAGCGACATCTTGTAAGATAAGATAACTAACGGTATTTTCTCCTCTTGGTGTTGAGTTTTCCTTATTTGACCCTCTCCTCTTTGTCTGCTCCTTCTTGACACCCCATGACCCCAACAAAGGTTCCTTGCTACCAGGTACGCAAAGACTTACCTCCCACTCCTGCACTCACCCAGCTCGTGTGTGACACTCTGGGTAGGGCTTAGGGCTATGAGTCTGAGAGATGGTGCAATCCCTACTGCTTCTCCTTCCACACATGCTCTATTTCCATTTCAGGCAAAGAGTTCTTTTTCCTGGACAGTGAAACCAGATTGTGCAAAATAGCTCCTGAAGGCTGGAGAGAGCAGCCTCAGAAGACCTCCATGAATACCTTCACACTCTTCCTGAGGATAAAGTTCTTTGTCAGCCACTATGGGCTGCTCCAGTGAGTGCTGCAAACCTGTTCATTTGTTCCTTAAGGGATTTATGTATGTCCAGGCTGACGGAGAGGTAATGGATCGACAAGTGCTTTGCAAACTGTAAATTACATACAAATAACAATAGCTATTGTGGTTGGTTTTCTGTTGATTGGATTCTGATCAAGATAGAACAAAGGAGGAAAATCAGTTTTTTTATGCAGGCCCTGGTCAGAATGAGAATATGCCCTTTGTTTCAGACATACTCCACTCAAGGTCAAAATTCTCTGTCTGTGACCCCAAAATGCCCCCTCACCCCCAACACACAACTCAGCAGCCCAGTCATGAGGGTTGGAGGACAGAGACATGGGTTTGCAGTTTGATCCCTGCGTCTTTATTTCTTTGTTTATTAGAAACACCACCGAACTGGTTATTAGCTTCCTCACTCAAACCAGAGCAAGAAACACCTCTGTAAGTTTGTATGAAGTGACTGGCATAGAGTGGCCCTAAACGAGGGGCAGGAGGCATGGTATAAATGCAGGAGACCACACTTGTCTTGCTGGCATTGCCTCTGAATTCTATTGAGTTGCATCTCGTCTTCCCTACTTTTCCAACTTCCCACACTGAGAAAACCCACTGGTGCTAACATTCTCCCTTTCCCTTAGCAACCCAGCCCTTTTTATTGCTACTTCTTTTCCAGGCACAGCCTGACAAGGCACCAGTTTTACCTGCAGCTTCGGAAAGATATCCTGGAGGAGAGGCTGTACTGCAATGAAGAGATACTGCTGCAGCTGGGGGTCCTTGCCTTGCAGGCTGAGTTTGGCAATTACCCTAAGGAGGTAGGGGTGAACACCAGGGGCCTTTGTGTGGGGTCACTGGAAAAACAGTTACAGGATGAGGGCATGTGTTAGTAATGTGGAGACTCTGCTTTGAGTATTGTTAGCATCTACCAGCTAGATTGGAGTAAACTACATTTATCCATCCATCCATCCATCCATCCATCCATCCATCCATCCATCCATCCACCTATTCATTGATTCATCCATCCACTCATCTACCTATTCACCTGTCTATCATTCCATCCATCCATCCATCCACCCACCTACCTATTCATATATCCATCCATCTATCCATCCATCCATCCATCCATCCATCCATCCATCCATCCATCCAACCATCCATCCATCCACCCACCCACCCACCTATTCATCTATCCATTGATCTATCCTCCCATCCATCCATCCATCCACTCACCCACCCATCTACCCATCCATCCACCCATCCATCTACCTATCCATCCATCTACCCACCCAGCCACCCACACACCCATCCACCTATTCATCCAGAAAGCATTCACTGAGCTCTCTTTGCTAGGCTCTGGGAGGCACAAAGATGAATAAATCCAGTTTATACTCAGTAATATAGTTCTAGTCTAGTTCTAGTCCAATAGGTACCTCCTAAAGACAGTAATTTACTAATTTATTGAATTCCTATCATAATCACCATCATCAATAGTAATAGCCAACCTTTATTTTTAAAATTTATTTATATTAATTTATTCATTTTATTTCAATAGGCTTTTGGAGAACAGGTGGTGTTTGGTTACATGAATAAGTTTTTTAGTGTTGATTACTGAAATTTTGGTGCATTCATCACCTGAGCAGTGTACACTGCACCCAACATGTAGTCTTTTATCCCTCATCCTCCCAACCCTTTCCCCAAGTCCCCAAAGTCCATTGTATCATTCTTATGTTTTCGCATTCTCATAGCTTAGCTCGCACTTATGAGTGAGAACATATGATGTTTGGTTTCCCATTCCTGAGTTACTTCACTTAGAATAATGGTCTCTAATTCCACCTAGGCTGCTGTGAATGCCATTATGTCATTCCTTTTTATGGAATGAGTGGATAAAGAAATTGTGGTATATATATACATATACCACTCATTGATTGATGGGTATTTGGGCTGGTTCCATATTTTTGCAATTGGGAATTGTGCTGCTATAAACATGCGTGTGCAAGTATCTTTTATGTATAATAACTTCTTTTCCTCTGGGTAGATACTCAGTAGTGGGATTGCTAGTTCAAATGGTAGTTCTACTTTTAGTTCTTTAAGGACTCTCCACACTGCTTTCCATAGTGGTTGTACTAGCTTACATTCCCACCAGCAGTATAAAAGTGTTCCCTTTTTACCACATCCATGCCAACATCTATCATTTTTTGATTTTTTGGTTATGGCCGTTCTTGCAGGAGTGAGGTGGTACCACATTGTGGTTTTGATTTGCATTTCCTTGATCATTAGTGATGTGGAGCATTTTTTCATGTGTTTGTTGACCATTTGTATATCTTCTTTTGAGAATTGTCTATTCATGTCCTTAGTCTACTTTCTGATGAAATCGTTTGCTTTTTTCTTGCTGATTTGTTTGAGTTCTTTGTAGGTTCTGGATATTAGTCCTTTGTTGGATGTATAGATTGCAAAGATTTTCTCCTATTTTGTGGGTTGTGTTTTTACTCTGCTGATTGCTTCTTTTGCTGTGCAGAAGCTTTTTAGTTTAATTAAGACCCATCTATTTATCTTTGTTTTTGTTACATTTGCTTTTGGATTCTTGGTCATGAAGTCTTTGTCTAAGCCAATATCCAGAAGGGTTTTTCTGGTGTTATCTTCTCAAATTTTTATGTTTTCAGGTTTTAGATTTAAGTCTTTGATCCATCTTGAGTTGATTTTTGTATAAGGTGAGAGATGAGGATCCAGTTTCATTCTTCTGTGTGTGGCTAGCCAATTATCCCAGCACCATTTGTTGAATAGGGTGTCCTTTCCCCTCTTTATGTTTTTGTTTGCTTTGTCAAAAATCAATTGATTGTAAGTATTTGGCTTTATTTCTGGGATTTCTATTTTGTTCCATTGGTCTATATGCCTATTTTTATACCAGTACCATGCTGTTCTGGTGACTATGGCCTTATGGTGTAGTTTGAAGTCAGGTAATGTAATGTCTCCAGATTTGTTCTTTTTGGTTAGTCTTGCTTTGAATAGTAATAGCCAACCTTTATTAAAAGATCACTATGTACCTGGCATTTACCCAGACATTGTCGATTTATGTTAACTCACTTAGCTCTTGCAGCAACATTGTAAGTTGGTGTGATAATATCATAGAGTTGATATTATCACTCAATTTTCTAGAAGAGTGATCTGAAGTTCATGTGGCTAGTACATTGTAAAGTCTAAATTTGAGCCCAGACGTGTTACTCCAAGGCCAATACTGATTTTTCTGGGATACACTCTTCTCAAATGGCAATCCTAATCTTGGCCAAGCCCTTGCCCCTGCAGCAGAATCATATGCAAGTTTCTTTGATTTAACTGCCAATGATAGTCCTCTGTTATAATCCTCAGGGAGTTAATAGTGTTAGTAACTTGTTATTTAATGTTCAGATGCCTATTAATAGGGAAGGATTATGCTAATGTATTTACCTACCTAATTATGATTTAAAATGGGGACACAAGGCAGGAAGGAGAAACCAACCACTTGAGCTGTTATGACAGCAGTGTAATTTTGCTGTTGGGGTTTATGAAGCACTTCCCTCATCTCTTGCCCATGTTCTGGATGAAGGGAAAGGCTTGGGAACAGACCTCAACAGAGACCGAGCAGTGTGACCCAGCAGTGTGACATGACATCTGAATGTGGAGTCCATCTCTGGGTGTATCAGTAGGAGCAGAGAGGAAGGAGCAAGGGAGGGGAAGTCTCCACCAATCTCTTCCCTGGTGACCTCCCAGCCAGCATGCTGGGCTTTACCTTGGAGAGCACTCACCACTGTCATGTGACAAAAGCTGGGTGCCACTGGGGAATGCTTAGCTTGGAGAAGAGATGGTCTTCTTCAAGAGGACTGCATGAAGGAGGAATTCACTGCTAAAAAAAAAAAAAAGAAAGAAAGAAATGTTAACCACACACACTCCACCCTTCTGCCCCAGAAATCTTCAAAAGGACCTTTAAATCCTTGAGATCCTAAGAACTGGCATGTTACTGAGCCTTTGAATGCCCTTTCCCATAATGTCTGCACATCCGTCTCAACCTTATATACCTTTCAAGGTCAGTACCAACCCCCTAGAGTTCCTGGCCCCACAAGTGGACCCTCTGGATACTTTTTCGCATCCTCCCATACCTTTGGCCAGCACAGGTGATTGGACAGCATTCTGTTGATTAGAAGTGATAGAAAATCAAGCTCAGGCTGGCTTGAATAAAACATGTCATTTATTGTCTTGCAAAATTGAAGGGTTCTGGTTCTTTCTCAGCCTCCCAGCATCCCTGTGACAAGCTTCCAGCCCAATCACTCTTACTTTGGAGCCTGGGTGATAGGAACTCACATGATGTCAGTAGGACTTGGGCTTCTTGTGTCTCTGAGCTGTGCTCTCCTCTGTCACATTTGCCTTTCATGGCTTTCCAATTCCACTCTCCAGGTTCCAGCCCTGTGCAAGAGAGAGAGTCTCTCCCTTGGAAATGGCATGGAAATCCTGGGCTTCTTTCCCATTGGTGCTGATAGAGTCATGTGCCCACCTGAAGCCAATCATTGTGTAGGGAGATGTTATGCTTTGATTGGTTAGACTTGAGTCTAACCCCATGGTCACCCTAGGAGGCAGGGATAGAGCTCACACTGCCAAGTGCATAGACTGAGAGGGAGGAAGGATGGTTTCCCATTTCCTCCTTCAAAAAGAAAGTGAATAGTCACATGTGGCCAGAAATACATGTCCACCACCAGTGGGCACTTAGTGGTCAGAGATGCTACATCATTGGTGAATAAAGGAGCCATGTTTACCTAAAGTTCTAGTCTGCTACGTCATCGGGGTCTGGCCTTATGTTATAGGCTGAGTCTTGAGCCCCAAAATTCATATGTAGAACCCCTAATTAACAGTACTTGGAGTTAGGGCCTTTAAAAAGGTGATTAATTTGAGATGAGGCTGTTAGGGTGGGCCCTAATCCAATCTGACTGGTGCCCTTATAAGAAGAAGAAATTTGGACACACAAAGAAACACCATGGAGGCACAAGTACAGAGGAAAGGCCATGTGAGGACACAGGGAGAAGGGGGCTTTCTGCAAGCCAAGGAGAGAGTCCTTGGGAGAAACCAAACCTGCAGAAGCCTTGGTCTTGGACTTCCAGTCCCCAGAACTATGAGAAAATGAACTTCTATTGTTTAAGCCCCCTAGTTAGTATTTGTTATGGCAACCCTAGTAGATTAGTACACCCTGAGTCTGAGAAGGAGGAACAGTAGCCACCACTGGGTGTGGACACCTTCGCAGAGTTCTGTGTCTTATTCCTCACAGGGTATGTGGGATAGAGAGGGAGGGCTGTGAGTGACCTTGGTTATAACTTGCCTGCCTTGGTTCTGGAACTGGATTAAAGAGCAAGGACAAGCCCAACAGTTAAAACAGTGAGAACAGTGGGTTGTAAAATTTTTTTTGCCATGTCCCATGGATAAATGGACATTAAAACCCAACACCTACACATGTATATAGAACAGAACTGAAGCAAAAACCTCAGGAAATAAGGAGCATCCTTTCTATATGCAATGCACATTGATATCTCCTATTATATTCTCATTCGTTTTAAAAATGCTGATTATGGGCCCCTAAATTGATTCATAGCTCACCAATTGGTTACAGACTGCGGTTTGAAAACACTTCTCAGACTCTCCCAACATTGTCTTGCTTTCCTCCCGGTACAGCTTCAGAAGGCGCTGCTGTGTCCTGGGGTCTTCAAAGTCCCTGTGTATTCCCTCACCCTGCTGGGTTTTTGTTCACAGCATTTGTCATCATGTGGGATGATGAATTCATTTTATTGGTCATTAGCATAGAAAACACCTGAGGGTAAGGGTGTTTTTGTCTGTTTGGTGTAGCCATTTATCCAGCACCAAAGCAGTACTTGAAGCGCAGGGAGTTTGTTCAAGAGCTGTGAATGAATGGAGTTGAAACTCCCGGACTGGAAGACACTACAGATAACAGTAATCCATCAGAACATCAGCAGCTGGCTTGTCAGGGGACTGTATAGTTCAATTCCCCTCTGTCCCCTCTCCTGGGACTACCCTGGTCCATGGATACTGGAACTTCACTTTCTGCCCCTGACACTGCCCCAGGGAGGCAGTGTCTCAGAGCTGGCCTGGCCCTCTTAACCTCCTCCCTGCCCTTTTGACAATCCCTGTCACTGCTTACCCTTGAACTCCTTCCTGCCCTCAGTACCCAGGCCTGGGGCCCTTTTCATGCCTAGGCCAGCTTCGGGTGGTGCTACATTGGGAAGTCCTGGGAGGAGGGTGCTCTAAGCCAGGAGTGTCCCAGTGAATCAGTTGACATTCTTGCTGTGGCCTCTGGTTCAGTAGCTATATGGCCTTGGCATGTTTTCTCTCTGAGCCTTGGCTTTTTCATCTGCAAAATGGAAAATAATCATCAATCTCTTGCAAAACTGCTGTAAGGGTGAAAGATGGCAATTCATGTGTGGTATCTAGCATGTGACAACTGCTGCTTGCAAGCTTTCCTTCTACCTCCTCCAGCATTATAGTGCTCTGATATAAAATGACACAACTGCTAACCTTCAGTCTGTAGATTCAGATACAGGATGTCAAACCTGAGTTTAACTCTAGCACTTAGAGTTGTTGGGGACAGCAGGCCAGATCCACTGGAGGCAGGTGGGAGTTTGAGTAATAGTCTCTTACTCAGACCTGGAGTCAGTCCAGCAGAGTCTCTTGCCCCAGGGTTCCAGGGGCCCAGACCTGTCTCTATGAGCCTATAATAGTCTAGGTTCTCTAGAGAAACAGAACTGATAAGATATCCATCTATTTATCATCTATCTATCTATCTATCTATCTATCTATCTATCTATCCATCATCTATGTATCTATCATCTGCCTATGTATCTGTCTATTATCTATCTGTCATCTATATGTCTTTCTGTCTGTCTATCTAGAGATGTATTAGAAGGCATTGGCTCATGTGGTTATGTAGGCTGAGAAGCCTCAAGCTGTGTAGTTAGCAGGCTGTAAACCCGGGAGGGCCAATGGTGCAGTTCCAGTCCAAGCCTGAATCCAAAGGCAAGAGAAGAACTGGCATGAAGAGAGTCAGGCAGAGAGGAGCTGCTTCTCTACAGGAGGGTCAGTCTTTTTGTTTAATTCAGTCCTTCAACAGATTGAATGAGGTACATTCACTTTAGGGAGGGCCATCTGCTTTACTCAGTCTATGGATTTAACTGTCAGTCATGTCCAAAAACACCCTCACAGTCACACCCAGAATATTTGACCAAATATCTGGGCACCCCATGGCCCAGTCAAGTTGACACATAAAATGGACCAGCACCAACACTCCATTATGGTGCTTTCCTGTGCCCGTCCAGTTTCTGACTGATCTCACCCTGCTTCTGGCTTAGTGTCATCTCATTCTCCTTCTGCTTCCCCATCCCCAGATCCTGCCAAGCCTTAACCTGTCTAGTGCCCTGAGGACATTTCTGAGGTGCTCTCTGCTGCCCCCATGTGGCCCCCAAAGGCAGACCTTTTTCCTTTCTCACGTATGTAAAGGCCAACAGGTTTACACAAACCCATTCATTTATACAACCACTTAGTCTTAATTTATGGGAGGCCTGCTCTGGGCTTGGCACCATTGAATTCTTAAATCAACCCGGAAAAGCCGGTGCTATTTACATTTGCCATTGAGAAAGTTGTGACTCTGTGAGGTTAGGTAAGCTAGAAAGAGCGCAACCAGGGCTCACTTCACATTGCTTTGCTATATGCCAGGTGCTGCAATGGACACTTCAAAGGTCATTGAGTGAGGCCTCAGAGAGGAGAGCCCCTCTCTGTGTCACTGAATGGGCAAGAGGAGAAGTCTGGCCTGTCCGCTGCCTGAGCCTCGGTGGCTGTGAAGCTGGGTGGGGGCCACCTGTTATATCTGGGAAGACTTAGTGTGGCCTCCTAAGGGGCTTATGTTTTGTTTGATAAATGGTTCTGGTGCTGAAAAAAAATAATTTGGAAACCACTGTTGTGAAAGATTGGGAGCCCCTGAAGAATTTTAAACAGGGAAGCAACATGATTACATTTGCATTTTAAAAAGGGAGACAAAGACAATTTAGTATAAAAATAAATCTCCTTAATCACATCATCACAGCAGAATAACTTTCCTCTGGGTGCATTCTCTCCCTGCCTTGATCACATGCGGGGGTTTTTACACAGTTGTGAACTTCACCACATTCAATTTGCATTCTTTCTCACTCAATGGTACATGTCCTCCGGTGGCCTTCCTAGTGATCCTCTGGATTGGCAGCCTGCCATGCCTTCCCAGTCTTCCTTCACTTCTTCATTCTTGTATTGTGGGGTATTCACCCAGTAGCACCATGTAAGTGATAACTACTATTATTATCATTTAAATTGCGTCTGATTTTTCTGTTTTATAAATGCCATAAAAATAAGTGTACTTGACCGCAGAGCTTTTTCAGTCCCATATGGACTTTTCTCTTGGATATATTCCTACCAGAAGGATCCTGGATCAAAGATCCTAAACACTTAAAAAAAGTTTTAATAGACTTTAATGTTTGGAGAATTTTTAGATTCACAGTAAATTTGAATTGAAAATACAGGGATTTTTCATATATCCCTTGCCCCTCTACATGCACAGCCTTCTCCTACAGACACCATAAAAATCCTGCACCAGAATGTACATTTGTTACAATCAATGAACCTACATTGACACACCATTACCACTGAGAGCTCATAGTTTACACTGAGGTTTACTCTTGATGTTGTACATTCTATGGGTTTTGACAAATGTATAAAGACATGTATCTACCATTATGCTATTGTTGAAGTCAAATAGAATATGGAGATGAATCTCTAAATTTAAAACAATTTATTTGGGAAGCAAGAATTGCAGTTTGGGGTATACTCACAGACTGGGTGGTCTTTGGTGTGTCTCACGAACAGAGAGAACGTTGGGATTTTTATTAGGAATAAAAATGTTATAGTTTTGAAAGAAAACTCATCAGCACTTGAGAAGCTTTTGGGAACTGAAAACTGATTGGTAAGTGACAGTGGGAGGTAAAACAAGTCTTAGAGTCCCAGCAGATCTTTTCGGCAGCTACTAGGTAAAACTGGTCTTAGGGTTACAGCAAGTCCTTTCAGTAGTTGGGCTTATGGAAAAATTTAATTCTTGGAGCAGGTGCTATGTGCCCCGAGTTCATTTTCTTCCTGGCTCCCGGTCTCTGATTTAGTTGGATATGACAAGAATTACTCAATTTGTATAACCAACTTTCAAGTATCTTACAGAGTAATTTCATGGCCCTAAAAATCCTCTGTGCTCCACTTATTTATTTCTCCCTGCCTCCAAACTCCTGATCTTTTTATACTTCCATAGTTTTGCATTTTCCAGAATATCATATAGTTATGATCATACAGTAAGTAGCCTTTACAGACCTACTTCTTTCACCTAGTAATATGCATTTCAGACTCTTCCATGTCTTTTCAAGGCTTGACAGCTCATTTTTTTTTTAGCACTGGACAATATTTCATTGTCTGGATGTAACAGTTTATTTATCCATTCACCCACTGAGGGACATCATTTGCTTCCAAGTTTTGGCAATTATGAATAAGGCTGTTATAAACATCTGTGTGCAGGTTTTTGTGTGGACATAAGTTCTCAACTCCTTTTGGTAATTACCAAGGAGCAAATTGCTCAATCATATGGTAAGCATATGTTTAGTTTTATGAAAAACAACCAAACTGTATTCTAAAATGGCTGTACCATTTTGCAATCCCACCAGCAACGACTGAGAGTTCCTGTTGTTCCACATCCTCACCAGCATGGTGTTGCCAGTGTTCTGGAATTTGGCCATGCTAAGAGCATTCTAAATGCTTTTTTATGCACTAGCCTGCTGAACAATATCTCTCTGTTTGTGGTGGAGCTGAGCTCAAAACCAGCATGGGCCAGCACCAACCTGAGGATTCTTGGTCCATGGCCACATGGGGACATGCTACATCAGGAGTGTGGGAGGTAGTGGACACTGTGCTCTTCTCTTCAGATACCCCACTCAGGCCAACTCATTCACCCCCAGCCCCAGTGAGGCCAGATTCTCCCAGCTCCCACTTGCCTTCCTCATGAGTAACTGCCCTCAACTGGAGGGAAATGGCTTGCCCAGGGTTAGGCTGGGAAAGGCTTCCTGAGACCAGGACATGTTGATCTGGGAATACAAAGGCAGGGTCAGCTTCTCCCTCTGCCTGATCCTGCATTCCTCATTCTGTATAGTGGACCTCAAGATCACTCCTGCATGGACTTCTGCAGACTTTTACCTGCCCCAGAGTCTGTGTTCAGGGAACTCACCATCAAGCAGTGAGTGATTCCACCTGCCACCCTCTCCTGGGGGGATGCAGCCTCAGTCTCCCAAAGAACAGACTTGATGAAGGTGGGCTGGGGGTATCCAGTCTCCCCTTTTCCAGGGGGCTACTCCTTGAACACCTTCATGTGCAGCAATGATGCCAAAGCTAAGACCTCCTTGGTGAGAAGAGACAATGTTCTGGGAGTGCATGTAGACAGAAATGCTAAATGAATTAAAAAAAAAACAACATAGAGTTTTAGGGCCAGGGTTTTGCTATGCCTTTTGGTAAGGTGTGGCATCGTGGAAAGTGTGAGGGTTTGAGGTGAACACATCTTGTTTCTGTCACTTCCAAGTGGTGTGATCTTCGCCCTGTTGAGTGACCTCTCTCCTTGCTTGTCTTGTCAATGGCAATGACAATGCCATCTTCAGAGTATTCCTGTGAGAATCAGAAAAGCCTTATGTGTTCTGTGAACTACCTGGCATAAAAAGGGGCTCAAAAACAGCTCCTTTACTCTCTCTTTTCTGTTCATGTCCTAGGGTTTGGCCCCGTTTTTAATATAGTAGAAAATAATATCCCAGGTGGGCACCTCGAGGAAGTGTCTTTCTCTGGCGCCCTCCTGGAATTGTGACTACAGATAATGTTTTCATTCCTCTCAGAGTCCCCCGGCCAGTGTCTGGATTGTGCCCTTCCCTTCTACATCTTACTTCCAGCAGGTGGAGAGTAAGCCATACTTTCACGTTGAAGATTACATCCCAGCGAGTCTGATCGAGAGGATGACCGCTCTACGGGTCCAGGTTGAAGTCTCAGAGATGCACCGGCTCAGCTCTGCACTGTGGGGAGAGGATGCTGAGCTGAAGTTCTTGAGGGTAAGGCCTTCCTGACCTGGAGAGAGGTGTTGGTCTTCAAGGGAATGCAGCCAGCAATCCCCTCCAGAGCCTTCTCAAGGGGCCCAGGTGTGTGCAGACCCACAAGGAGGCATGAGCAAGGGTGGAACTCTAGGAGGCAGGGAGGGGCAAGGAGAGGCTTCTGGAAGCAGCTGGCATTGGAAATGACCCCAAAGAGGGTAGGATTTAGTGAGCTGGGGTGGGTGTGGTAGGGCTTTTCCTTATTTTTTATTTTATTTATTTATTTTTTTGAGATGGAGTCTCGCTCTGGGATTACAGGCGCCTGCCACCATACCCAGCTAATTTTTGTATTTTAGTAGAGACAGGGTTTTCCCATGTTGGCCAGGCTGGTCTCAAACTCCTGACCTTAGGTGATCCACCTGCCTTGGCCTCCCAAAGTGCTGGGACTACAGGTGGGAGCCACTGTGCCCGGACAAATCTTAGATCAGCATTCCAGACACTTTCCTCCAAGCAGGGAGACCACATTTCTTATAGTTGACACATAGGACAACAGAAGTACAAGATCAGCGCTTGAGCCAGAGAAAAGCCATCACAAGACCCTAAGTTTGCAGCCCTGCAGGCAGCAGTCCTCAACATAGCACAGCTGCTGTGGCCTGTGCACAGGAGTGCAGCTTGGGCCCACCGTCTCTTCACCAGCGGGGCAAAAACAGTGGCACTGCAGTCTCCCCGTGTGGGCACACACAATGATGAATAGTCTTTGCTACTCCACAATCTCCCCTTGCTGTGGGCCAGGCACTGGAAAATGGAGACAAAAAGCACATGCTCTTTGTCCCCAGGAAGCCCCATGTCTTGTGGGGAGGACTGCGGTCTACCCACAGGCACACAACTCAATAAACACTCAATGGAACAAGAACAATACCAGCTACTCTATGTCAAGATGTGGGGACCAGGGAGAGAGTGGCTACTCTGCCTGTGCAGATACAGCTGGGGGATAAGTGCGAGGACACTCGCAGCTTCCCCAGGATGGGATACAAGCTGGGCCATTTGATTGGGGGAGCAGTTTTAAAAGGAAGTTAGGAGATTTGTGTATTTCCCTGTACAGAAGTCAGGTAGAAATATTCCATCTGTGTTTTCTTGCCCTTAATTGAGATGGGTACTTGAAAACAGAACAGCCAACATGAGGTTGGGCCTTTGCTTTTCAGCTGGTCATTTTGCAGAACTATCCCTGTATCTAACATGGTGTAGCCTGCAAGCGTTTCATTTGAGAAGCACTGGCGAAGCATGATCAGGGCACTCCATAGTCCGGGCTGCACACGTGTTCCCTGTCAAGGGGACGAAGCATTCCCTTGATGAGGGACCAGTGGGGACTTCAAAGCCATCTGATAATGAGTGGTCACAGAGCCACAGAACTGCAGAACCCAATCTAGAGGCCAAGGACCCAACCCTGCGGCAGATGTCTGCAGGATGGACGCTACCTTCTGGCCTCTGCCCAGACCCTGACTTTGAGTGCTGATCTCACTGTCAGGGTCCCTCGCTTCCTGGTTGAACGATGAAAAATGATTGTAAAAGAAACTACCAGGCTGAGAAGCAAAAATACAGAAAACCATTTTTTTCCCCATTCACAGAAAGCACTGAATAGATTTGATTCCATTTACATGTAATCTTTATCGGTTTCAAGGAGCACTCTTGCTTTTGCAGTTTCCCTTGGTAAACTGGTTGGGGTTGTTAATGCTGGTGTTGCCTGCCTGTGGTACAGAGAGATAAACTAGACAGGGCTTTGTCATCATCCCCAGAGCACATTGGGAGCCTCTCATTAGGATGAGGGTTTGTTAAAGGTTTTCTCCCCCTCCCTGATTATAAAAGTAAACATTTCCTCATAATTCTGCCGCCTGGAGATAGCACAGTTACATTTAGGTATATTCATCCTTCTCTCTTTGTTCTGTGCATTCATATATATATGTATATGCATATATATTTAAAATTAGCTTTATATTATACATGCACTTTTATGTATGTATATAATCCCATAGATCTAAACATTTGAAAACTTCTTTTGAATTAACATATATTGTACTCTAATTTTTTCTCTCAATGCTCTATTGTTTAACATATAAATGGTTTCCAATATGGGACTATTTAAAACAATACTGAGGTTAGCATCTTTTCCATATAAATCTTAGCTGTATTTCTGCTTCATTCCTTAGGGATAGAATCTCATAAGTGGAATTACAGGGTGGAAGGTAATAAACATTTTGAACGTTGTTGATATATATTGCTAAGACACCTCGTGCAGCCGTCATTTCTGGACATTTTCCATCTCTTCTACTGGGCTATAAATGCCTGGAAGGCCGTGGATCCTCAGTGCCCATCACAGAGCCCAGTTACTATTCTACAAGCAATCACTGGATTATTTAATTATAGCTCCTCATGGCTCTTGTTTTTCATTAGAAAAAGGAGAAGACCATTATTGGGAGGCTAGCTCTTGGTCCCCAGTTCACTGATGACTAACTCTGAAAGTTCAGCACCTTGTACTAGCCACAGACTGGGCAAAAGTCCAGTTTGGGAAGCGCTGAATACCATAGTCTGTCTGTAGATTCACAACTATATTAGCTTATTAATCTCAGAATAACCTGTTTAAGGTGAATTCAGTGTTTTCCTAACTTCCTCAACCATGGAGCCATTTTCCCACATAGCTGTGGGTTGTTAATATATTATTAAAAGATTTTTTTCTTGCTATTGAAATCATAATGATTGTATCCTGTAGTTTCTTCCACTTAGCATTATAACAAATGCACTCTCCTGATAATTACAAATGCTTTACAAATATCCTTTGTAAAGGCTGCCTGATAATCAATTTTAAGACAGTACTGTTTTTAGGAAATCGTTTACTGCCAGGAGCTGGTTTCCCCAAATCACCCCACAAATCTGTACTGAACAGCATTATGAGAAGGGGTTGTCCTGATTATTCAGCATATTTTCTTAGGGTAGATACCCACAGGTGGAGTTATAAGGTCAGAGAAGATGAATTCTGAACCCCTTGATGAATATTCAGAAATAACAATCCATTTGTTTTGAAGAATGTTCAATGCAGCAAGGGATGTGTGGCTGGCAGCCAGGAGTGCTTGGTCCCATCTCAACTTTGCTACCTGTTGTAAGGAAGACAGGCCTTGTAGTAAGATGGCCCAAAGCACATGGAGAGGAAATGACCCTCTGAAAGGACACCCAGCAATAGCAATGCAAAGGGGGCCAGGAGAAGCATCCTAGGAGACTCCCTAGCAGACAGCAAATGGAGGTAGACATCATTATTTTATTGTTTTACAGATTGAAGATGTCATTGACAACATTAAGTGTATTCACCTATGTTTCCAGGCCTTTTGGATTCCCTGTATTTCAGTTGTTAAGAGTGAAGACTCAGGAGCAAACAGGCTCATCTTTCCATATTTCCATTCCTGGCTCCAAAGCAGGAACTTGGACAGATTACTTAGAAAAAGGATAGCTTCACTATCTCTGTGATTGTTCTGAAGATTAAATAATAATGAAATCATGCTGGGAGAGGCTTAGCATGGTGCTTTACTAGTAGGAATCTTGAGGCCCAGAGAACTGAAAAGCATCGTATCTCTCTTTGTATAGGTAAACAATAAATTAAAATATAAACTAATACTAAACAACTGAAGAAGTTTAAGTCTAGCAAAGGCATGACTTTTATTAATGACTTTTAATGACTACTTATTAATGCTTAATTTTTAAAAGAAATATCACACCAAATTCTTTAAAAGCGTCTGCCTATTATCTTGTGGTGGCCCTGCTTTTTAAACTTTAATCACATGCCCAGGCTGGCCACTGGATATTTCAGCACCAGCGCTCAATAAATATTGATTTGTATGATGATAAGGATATTGATGATGATGATGATGATAATGATGATGATGACGATGATGACAGGGTCTCTCCAAAGTTAAACGAAGGAGGCTTAGGGTTCAGAAATGTAATCTGAACCCTGTGTGAAGAGCTGTGGAGTCTGCAGGCAGCATAGCTGTCTGCATGGACTTCATCAACGGTGAATGGGAAAGGAGCCTGAGAGAGGAGCTCTCAAAAGCCATAATTTGTCCCTGTTTTTGTGACCTTGCCTGGGGGTGAGAGAGATTGGATAGGACATTATGCTCTCTGGTTGGGGGTAGGAATGGGATACCAGATTTCAGCAATACAACCCTTCTGAGAGGGCTTCAAATGCCTGGAGCAAGAGGTCCTTGCTGTGGGTCCCAGAGACACATCAACCTTCTGATGGGGACTGGCGTCTTCCTGGTGAAGATGAAGGTGGGAAAGTTACTGCCATTCAGATGTAGAAACATTTGTGTTCATTTTATACTTTGGTCTCTTAAGAAGTTGGTGGCCTAACGCAGTCCCCAGCTCCAACTGACCCATGGCCCCTGGCAAAATTTATTCCCCTAACCTGGTAAACAGAGGCAAGACCCTGGGCTACGGGGACCCCCACGAAGGCATTGCTACATGGTGAGGAGCACCAAAATGAATGGTCATTTTCTCTGCAGGGTGGTTCACAACTAACATTGGTGATCTGGAAGGTCACTTTCTGTGCCTTAGCCTCAGTTTTTCTATCTGTCACGTAAAGGGATTGGAACAGAGAATACTATAGACTCTGACACAACAAGGAAAAGAAATCTCTTACCTTGAGATGTCCCAGAAGAGTATGAATTCTAAAAAACTTGTTCAGAATATTATTATTGTACTGTGTTATTTTCATAATAACTGTATTCTAAGTACTGTTTTAGGTATTCCATGAGAAAAGTATTCCTTGGGTTACAAAAAAAAAAAAAAAGGAAAATTCTATCATATCAGAGGTGCAGAGAAATTTTGTACATAGCAAATAAATCTGTTTGACCCAGTGTTTCCTAAACTTACATGACAATTCTACTCTTTCTTTTCAGAACGCCTATCAGTGTGTTTTGCATGGAGTGAATGGCGTGAGGCCCATTATTTTAAACCATGTGCCTGTCTCTTCTAAATCAGCCTTTTTCTGCTCCAGGTCACTCAGCAGCTCCCAGAATACGGTGTGCTGGTTCACCAAGTATTCTCAGAGAAGAGGAGGCCAGAAGAGGAGATGGCCCTGGGGATCTGTGCCAAGGGTGTCATAGTCTATGAAGTGAAAAACAACAGCAGAATTGCAATGTTACGGTTTCAGTGGAGAGAAACCGGGAAGATTTCTACTTATGTGAGTGTAGCTCAGTTGATAAATAACCTGCACTTCATTTTCCTTTGATTTGTTGGCCGTTTAAAGGAGCAGTGGGTCATGGGTCATGTGGCTTTCTCCTGACCAAACATTCTCACAGCCTGTCTGTTTGTTAACCTGCATTCTGATGCATTGCAGGATATTTGGAAGAAGTCTGCCAAGGGATTTTGGGAGGTCCTCAGGAGGCCATTTCTTCCCTAACATTCCTTGCCTGGACCTCCACATATCCCCATGAACAGCCATTGGTCTAAAGGGCTACACTTTCCTTCTGGGTAAAGTTTTCTTAATTTGGAGACTCCATTAACGTTGAGAGCAAAGTTGGAGGTGGGAGATGGGGGTTGAGAGTGTAGTTTAGGTTGAGTGGAGCCTGAAAGGTTTTGAAACTTCTTCCCGTGTTTTAATTTTCCCTTTGCACGCAGTGTGCCAAGGCCTCTGGTCTGTCTCTGAGGACTACAGGTGTGCTACGGGACACTGAGGATTGCAAATTTTTGGTAGCTCTTAAAAGTTTCAAAGTCTATTTTTGAATAGAAAATCCCCATTAAGTATACAACATTTGGAATCTACTTGAACACTATTTGCATGCATATTTCTGCCTCCTGAAGTGAGTCACTCTGGCACTGTACCCTGGTGGCTGACAGCCTCTGCCTGTCCTGTGGTTGTTTTAGTCAGTACCTGTGTCACTTCAGTGACGATTTATTATAAAATATGAAGTTCTTTATCTTGCGGCCCCTGAAAAAATGTTTTTTTCCTATTTAATTTTCTCAATGGTTAAAAACATTTTCTAATTACATCACTATTTGTATCATTATCTGATGTTAGAGTTTCCTGAGTAGAACATAATTGCTTTCATTCATTTTCAGGATGTTTCTTTTATTTCTTCCATCTTGGCTTTGAAGTTAACACATTGTCAAGATAAAATTTCATAATAAATTATTGTTTGTTTTCAGGAAAAAAGCTTACATCTAAAAATAAATAATAATTGAGCACAATTTAATTGAGTTTATTCAAGTGGTCTGTATATTATCAGGAAATTGACTTTTTTTCAAATTATTTTGACCAAACTCAGATGAAACAATATTCATATTTGTGAATTTTTCAGAATTTTAATTACTCAAATTACATTAACTAAACTGAAAGTTTATATGAAGAACTTTGTTTAATGAATTTAATACTACTACATTACTTATTTTCTTATTGCATGTTTAATTGTTCAGATTTTTCAATGCACTATTTCAAAATATTCATAAAAATGCAGGTAACCTAAAAAGTAATTTTTTAAAATGGATTTTTTTGAAGCTGTAAAGCTCGACAGTCCCCTTAAGTAAGTACTTTATGTATACATTGGTTTAACTTTTACAGGTATTTATTTCCCCCCACCAGGGGATTTCTTGATTAAATTAGTTGATTAATTTCTTGATTAAAACTGGGAAGTCATCAGGCTCTGAAGACAAACTTAGTAGCTCAAAAAATACTTAATCAGGGTTTCCATTCTCTGATGATCATCCTCTTCCTTGGCATGAATAACTTATTTTTAAGGAACAGTCGTCAGATGAAGTAATGTCACCAGCAGTTTGCTGCAAACCAAGCATCTTACGCAGAAAATGACTTGAACTCTTTATGCTTCTGTAAGCACAAAATAGGGAATTCAGTGAACAATATGAAAATTAACTCAGGAAACTGGTTTCAATTTTGCTTTTTAATACCTGAGGCCAAAAGTCTTCAAACAATTACAGATCGTTCATCTTGCCAGCCTGCACCAAAGCAGCAAAGGAAATAGAGAAAGATGACATTTCCAAAGAATATGATTCGTAGATGTGTTGGCGTCCATGTGTGGTTTGATTGTTCAATCAAAAACCTGTTCCTTCTAGAACAATAAACCTATGCATGCTAGTAACTGTCCATAGTTATCAGCACTAGTTAAATCTCTGAAGAGAAATGCATGGAAACAGAAGCAGACACACGCTATTTAGGGCCCTCTTTATGAAAAAGAATACAAAGTTACAAAAGATGGCATGAAAGAAATATTTATTCAGAATGAGAAAAGAAATCACAAAAACTTTATGAATTTTTAAAAGCTGAACAAATCCTGCAGATATCAAAAAAGCCAGCAAGTAATATTTTTATTAACTTCCTGACAATGCCTATAATACTTTTTTCCTTTCAAATTTTTAATGGCGTACCCTGATTATTTTTCTGTATGATGGCGCTTTTGTAATATCATTTTCTCTAGAGAGGATAGAAATATAGTTTAGTTTTTCTTCTAGCATGGTGGATTGAAATCTGTTTTTATTATTGAAAGGATTAATAGGATGCATGAAACACGCAGCTTTGCACAGAAACATTTTTGCTCTTTCTAGTGCTGCAACAGAGTTATTTGCTGCAAATGCAGGAAACCTGACAAATTCTATTTCATGGGATTCCCATAAAAAAAAACGTGTCATGTGTTGATAATGCGGTATACACAATTATAGAGTATATCCCTGATAGGGAAGCATTTCAATTAGATGAGTATTTTTGAGAACTAAATTATAGTTTTTCATTTCTGATGAGTGCAAAAACTTCCTGTAGATCAGCTACTGGCTCTGTACAGCTCATGCTTCCTTCGGGGGCTGGGTATTATAGGGCATGGTCAATTTCATCTGGCTGCTGGCCCTGCACCTTTCTGCTGAGATTTTAGGTGAGTTAGACAAATGGAAGGAGTATTCTGGGATGGCTAGCAATAAAGTAACTATTCTAGAAAAGCCTTCAAATCACCTAAATAAATCCAACTAAATCTAAACCAAGTGTATCCCCATCTCAACTTCTTAAAGGGTTCTGCTCTGTATCACCCAACACCACCTGGTGCGAAGGGACGTGGCAAGGAGGGTGTGTCTGAGTAGAAAGAGTCAGTGGTCTTAACCAACTGGGGTGAAAACATCTTACTTTCCGTGTATTATAAGACCATGTGAATGCATTGCCAGGGCTCCTCCCAGGAAGTTAGGGCCCTGGAGCTTCAGTTTCATTAGTTTCATGACAAGTCTCCCCTGCCTAGAAAAATGTTATTTGTATTTCATACAAAGATGTATCAAATACAAATAATCAAGCAGGTGAACAAATAGCAACAGAAAAAAAAGAACTCCTAGGGATGAAAATATTCAAAATGGTAAACTGATGCTTTGAAACCAACATGTTACAGAAGCACCTGCCATGAATTAGGTGGGTGCAAGAGTAATGGCGCCCACCTAATTGCAGTAATTGCACCAACCTAATGTTTCTGCTGCAACCACAGAAATGTAAAGAAAGGATTTCATGCTGGTGCTGAAAACCCAGAGACTGGAGTTATACATCATCGTATACACAGAGTAGCAGCTTGCTTATGCGAAAGTTTGCAGATAAGAATTTTCCATTAAATGATGGAAAAGACTCTTGACAGTCAAGACTCTTTTCACCTTTATGTCAAGAAATAGGATCAGCATTCCACTCTGGTGTTTGATACCTTGGAGCACTGGCATCTGAAAAGGAGAGTTTTGCTGAGAGTTTATAAGCTAAAAGAAACTTCGATGTATGTGTTTGTTTGTATGTGGGTGTGTGAATGATTCTCCCTTTTCAGATTTGTTAAAAAATAGTTATTACATTTTAAAAAGTGATTTATTCTTGCAAGGCACAGTGGCTCACCCCTGTAATCCCAGCACTTTCAGAGGCTGAGGAGGATCACTTAACTCCAGGAGTTCGAGAGCAGCCTGGGCAACAGAGCGATACCCCTGTCTCTAAAAAATACAAAAATTAGCTGGGTATGGTGGTGCCTCACTGTGGTCCCAACTACTTGGGAGGCTGAGGTGCGAGGATTGCTTGAACCCAGCACTTCAAGGTATCAGTGAACTATGATTGTGTCACTGCACTCCAGCCTGGGTGACAGAGCGAAACCCTGTCTCAAAAAAAGAGTGACTTATTCATATAAAAAATGCTTAATATCTGAATAAACTTAATATAAAATTGTCAGGATTGCATGAAAGCCTATCAGTGTGTACTGACAAAGTGTATGGATTTCAAGCAAATATTCGACTTTGAAAAAGTGTGGATGAAATGATCAGTTGAGTACTAAAGAAGAATTATTACGACTGGCGGAGCAGCATCTATGAATGCTTGAGACAACACATTATTTAAAGAAATATTAGTTATAGTACAGTTCAATTGGATTCAGAATCCATTCCTATTAGCACAAGGAGGCTTAGCACTATACTTGTCAGTAAAAGTAAAGAGTATACAGAGAATGAGAAACTTATCTAAAATTAGGTTAATGGTAAAAAGGGGTTTCTCAAAGAAAAAGCAATGAATATTTATCTGCCTTTTGTTGATATCTGACATGCGTGAATGGAGTTTCTTAGAAATGGTGACTATCAGGAATTAAAAGAGATAAGCCTTAAAGAGGATCAGGGGTTTCCGGAAGCCCTTTCAAGCATAAGCCCTGTTTCTATAAAGTTACCTTTATAGGAGCAAGCTGAAGGTTCTTATTGAAATAGATAGAATATCTAGAATGAAGATTTTATTTGGAAGTTTTATATGAATTAATATTTAATATCACCTATATATTTTATTGTTCTTATCAGAATAATATATTGCAAAAATTTGTACTTTTTTTTCATAAGGCTCTATACAGGTAGCCTCATATAGGTCATCTTCACCAGTTTAGCCCAGTGAGCTGGACAAATATTATCACTTTGTATGTGGGCCTTGAAGGTATAATGTGGGGAAGCGTTTCTTTGTGGTGTGACCTCAATTCCTGTGGCATTTTGAGGACTCTTGCTCTTTTTTTTTTTATCTGTAGAATAAAAATACTGATAGAATCTCTCTTATTCTGTAGTTGTGAAGATAAAATAAATTCATACTCATAAAGCACTTAGAATAGAACCTGCTACATTATAGCCAGAAATATTATAACACACAGGTGTTTTTATCTTTTTCATAACCCAACTAGTTGAGATTTTGTCTACAACTTCTTGGAGTTTGTACAATAAAAACAATGGGAATACTTAGTGGCTTGTCATAATGCACACTGAGGGTTAGGTTCCGTCCTTGCTGAGGTCAATATACCTGACCCACTTCATATTCTTCTCACCCAGCACACTCCTTGAAAAATAGTTATTGTTTGATAAACAATTTGATTGATGAATGAAGGAAAAACTAAAAAGAGGGATTTTCTTTAAGCTAAGGAAAATATCAGGCCATAGTCAGACAGCATCTGCCATGCACCCGTGGATGCCTGCTACAGGGTGTGGAACCAAGGGACCGAGCATTTTCTTGCAGTTGTGCGTCAGTGGAGGGTTGTGGATGATCAGTGTATTAAAGTCTGTGTTTGCTTCCTTCAGCAAAAAAAGTTCACCATCACAAGCAGTGTCACTGGGAAGAAGCACACATTTGTCACAGATTCAGCCAAGACCAGTAAATACTTACTGGACCTCTGCTCAGCCCAGCATGGGTTTAATGCACAGATGGGCTCTGGGCAGCCTTCCCATGTTTTATTTGGTGAGTAGAAGCTGTATTCTCCATATACACTTTGACAAGTTTGTTATTTCATAAAATAATTTGTATAAATAGATACAATTGATCTGGGGACCTCTAATAGAGTTGTAAATCTCTCTAATAATGACAGAAATACAATAAAAATGAAATACAGTTTTATTTTCTCATGTTGGCAAGCACTAAAATAAATAACACTGGGAGGATAAATTGATATGATCTTTTCAGAGTGCAATTGGAAATATACATCAAAAGCCTTAAAAAGTGCACGTCCTCTTGGCCCCATAATTTTACTTGTAGATAGACATTTATCCTAAGATAATCAATAGAGACATACACAAAAGTTGCTGCCCATGGATGTCTACTAGGGTGTCATTTATGACAGTGACCATTTGAAAGCAATCTAAGTATCCAAACATAGAAGACCAGATAAATAAACCAAGAGCATCTATATAATTCAGACAGTAAAATCAGTTTTTGGACAATGATGATATGTGAAACTGTACATGATAGGGTGCTAAGTGAGGAAAAGGAAGTTCTAAGACTGTATCTAGCTAGCACCGTCCAATGACACTTTCTTCAATGATGGAAATACCTGCATTGTTCAGTGTGGGAGTCACTAGCAACACAGACCTATCATGAACAAAAGTTCTTGGAAAAGGAATTCGAAGGAAAAAGACTTTATTCCTGTCACAGTCTGCAAACCCAGAAGGCACAACCTTGGTATAAAACAAAGGTGTGTTCTGGAGAACAAAGAGAGGGTTTGGCTTTTATAGATAAAACTCCCACCTAGGTTCCCAATCAAGTTCATTTATTCAAATGAAAGATTCAAACTTGCTTAGTTCAGATTGGTTGATGCGGTGCAGTTCTGACTAGTTGATACAGCTGAGCCCTGATTCGAGGAGGCAGGTGAGCTCTGATTGGTTGGTTCAGGTGAGCTCTGCAAGTCCCAATGTTAAACAGAAGGGTGGTTCTTCAAGGAACTCAGAGTACCTGTGTGACCTCTAGTCAGCAAATGGTTGCTTGGCTCTGTTTTATTTATTTATTTATTTATTTATTTATTTATTTATTTATTTATTTATATTTTTTAGCTTTTAGTTTTTATTTACTTATGAAACATAAAGCAATTTTGGGCAAAAGGTAACAAATAAACCTTGAAATTTCAATGGCTTAATACAGCAAAGGTTTGTTTCTCAGGTGCTTCTTGGTCTGGCTATTTTGCAGCTCTCCTCCAGCGACATGGGGTCTCGGCTGCTTCAGTGGAGAGCTCCATTATCTAGAATAATTACTCCAGAAAGGAAAGAGAAAGCTGTAAAATTGCACAAGATGTTTTAAGAGCCAGACCCCAAAGTGACTCATATTCCTTCCATCTGCATTTCATTAACAGAACACAGTCACATGGCCCCCAAGACAACTGCAAGACGGGTTGGAAAGGGAGGACTTCCTGTGTGCCCAGGAAGAGGAAGTAGTGTAACGATACACCATGGTCCTTGCCATAACGGCTGCAGCCGTCTGCTGTATCACTCTTAATTGAGAGTTTGGTATTAAACTCATAGCAGGACCAGATTACGGAAGAGGCAGAGTTTATCATTTGTGTTTAGATTGGAATCCTTGCAAGGAAAAACATTAAAATGTTTCTGCAATACACATAATCTAGAGATCAGGTGGACAGCATGGTGACCTGAATGCAGCACAGTTGAAGATTAACTACCAACAAGAATAACAATGAATGTCCTATTAAATAGCCCTGGAAGCACCTGTACCAATCAGGAAGCTATTTGCTGCTGCTTAGCAATTACAGTGAGAAATGTAACTCATCACATTCTCCTACTTTTGGTTGCTTAGCAGATCTTTTGCTTACTGTGCTTCTAAATTCAAAAACTATAAATACCCTTGTTTTACCAGGACCATATCTTAAAAATTTAAGGTACCTTGTAGAGTAGGGTTTTTTTTTTTTTTTGCCTGAACTCATTTTTTCAGAAAAATTTCAACTTTTATTTTAGATGCAGGGGGTACATGTGCAGATTTGTTAAATGGGAATATTATGTGATGCTGAGAGGTTTGGAGTATGGATCCGGTCACACTGGTAGTGAGCATAGTACCTGATAGGTAGTTTTCTAACCCATCTCACCTTCCTCCACCCTCTAGTAGTCCACAGTGTCTATTGTTCCCATATTTATGTCTATGTCTGATCAATGTTTAGCTCCTGCTTATAAGGAAGAACATGCAGTATTTGATTTTCTGTTCCTGCGTTAATTTGCTTAGGATTATGGCTTCCAGCTCAATCCATGTTACTGTATACAAAATCAATGTACAAACATCAGTAGCATCTCTATACACCAACAGCATCTCAGGCTGAGAGTGAAATCAAGAACACAATCCCACTTAAACAATAGCCACAAAGAAAATGAAATACCCAGGAATACAGCTAATCAGGAAGGTGAACAATCTCTACAAAGAGAACTACAAAACACTACTGAAAGAAATCAGAGATGACACAAATAAATGGAAAAACATTCTATGCTTATGGATTGGAAGAATCAATGTTGTAAAAATAACCATATTGCCCAAAGCAATTTACAGATTCAATGCTATTCCTATCAAACTACCAATGTCATTCTTCACAGAATTAGAAAAAAAAACTATTCTAAAATTCATATGGGACCTAAAAAGAGCCTGAATAGCCAAAGCAATCTATTTTAAATTTGGGCCCAGTTAGCTGCTCAGAATCCATCTTGAGGGACTGGCTCTTTCAGGTTCACATTTGTTCACACTATTGGGCACTTCAAAGGTGGCAAAAAGAACTGGGGGATTAAATTTTCAATGTTATTTAATTTTCTTCCATTTATATTTAAATTTAAATGGCCACATGTGCCTACTGTATTGAATAGCATAGTTATAGATAGACACACAACACTAATTTGGTTAATATTGTGTTTTAAGATAAGGAAGAATACAGAAATGAACTGCACCAAAATGTTACTGTTATTACCTTTGGGAGTTAGGCATGCAGGCACGACTGTTTTCTCTGTGATACTTTTTTGATATTTATTAAACTTACAACAATGAATGTGTATTATTGTTATAACTAAGAGTAAGACTATTGGTTAAAATGGGGCACACATCACATAAGACAAGTTAATATTTATGGAGCATTTACGAAGTGCTATGGAGCTATTTACTATTGTTATTACTAATTTTTCCTGGTGTTATGCTAAGTACTTACACTAATTACCTCCCTTATGTTCATAATTTACTGTTTTCTCAAACTGCCCTGGTCAAGCAGCCCCAGGAGGCAGGTACCAGCATTATGGGGAGGAGCAAACTGAGGCTTGGAAAAGTTAAGTAATGTGCTGGCTGCTTGGTGGTGGGCCTAGCCAAGGTTTGAACCTGTGGCTGTTGGGGCCCAGTGCCTGTACTATGGCCTTTCATAACCAGCCAGAGCATGGAATTCAGTGCTAGAGAGACTTGGTTCTGCGCACTGGCTTTACCACAGCTGCTGTCAATGTCTAGGCATTAGTTCTTCTTTGGCCATAAAAGGGAGCAATATAATATAGTGGTTTACACCCTTCATGTTCAGAGCGTGGTTCCTGGAGCTGCAGCATGCATGTCATCTGGGAGCTTGCAAAGGATGCAGAATCTCAGTCCCCACTCCAGACCATCTGAATCTGAATCTGCCTTTTAAAAAGAACCCAAGTGATTTAAATGTACATATAAGCTTCAGAAACACTAACTTGGAATGTGGCCTGTGGAGTCCAGTAGACTCAGGGGAGTGCCACTTTCTAGCTGTGTGACTTTGGGCAGCTCACTTCCCCTTTCAGAGCTGGAGTGTCCTCATTGGAGCACACAGACCGTACTGTAGGTTTGTATTGTGCTCGAGTGGGAAGGTGTGTGCGTGTAACATTTCTAGCTCAGTGTCTGGTGTTCTGTGCTCAGTGTGAGAGTAGTAATGGTGGCTCCTGCTCACGGGGGTTTTGTTCAGTGCCAGCCAATTCATATGGGAGCTGTGTCATTGGGTCCTGGGGCTGGCCCAGGAGTTGGGGTCAACTGGGAAACAAAATTGCTGAACTTTCAGATGCAGAACCAAATGCAGAAAATAATGGTAGCTTATTTTATTATTTGCAGCAGAACCAGATGAACATATAAACATTTCATTGAAACCACAGGCTGGTGGTTCCAGGATATTTCCAGGGAGCTGGAGATGACAAATGTAAATTAATTATACCTGACTTACCTGCTATTGCTGAGAACAGTGTGTGAAACACCATTGATATTGCTTTTATTGCCTGATTTCAGTGACTGTAAAATATTTATAAATATTTCATGAGCTCACTTGTAAAATTAGTCCTTTCAGGCCTATTTGGCTTGTAATAGGCTGTTTTCTCAAACTGCACATTCTACTGTCTTAGGAGTTTTTAGGAATCTAACATTTATTTGCATTGAAAGGATGAGTTTAGACAAAGTTCCCTTGCTTTTTAAAATATTTCTTCATTTTAGAAACTCTCTCTGCAGATTCATGTAACCCTTTTCAGCGATTACATGCAGCCGAGAACTGACCGCCTCCAGCTGATGGTCCCACACACCCCTCAAGCTCAGGGCATCCGTAATTGATCTCTTCCTCTCACACACCTCTCTTTGCCATGATATGTCTTGTACAAAGGTGGTCACCCAGCCTCCCTGCAGGAAACTGGGAGTGTCTGGGCCTGCACCCTCTCTTCCCACCCCACTTGTCACCAAAAACAGACAGAGAGAGATGTCAAAGCTGGGGGAACCCAACACATCTCATATCCTTGAAATGGAGGCACGTCACATAATGGACTTGCTGCTGGTACTCTTGTCCTGGATAATTGTCCTTCTCAGCCTTCAGAGTGACCTTTCAAAAGGACCAATCCTGTCATTTTCTTCCATGCTGAAAACTTGTTAATGGCTCTCTGTTGTCTGCAAGGACAAGCTCAAACTTCTTCTAGAATGGCATGCCAGACACTTCCCACTCAGTCCCCAGTCCTGCCATATTCTTTGCCCTGACTCCTCCTCTCTGGTCTCTGGCTGTTTTTCATGCCAGCTTGCAGGCTGTTCAGCACACCAGGATGGCTCAGCTTCCAGGGCTTTTGTGCCCAGCATACCCTCTGCCTGCAGCACGTTCCTAACTCCTTCCTGGCTCAGACCACCAAGATAAGTCCGATCCTCTGTAAATAAGCTTAAGGGTAACCTCATCCTTGAAGGCTTTCCTGATTGACTGCCCCCAGGTGGCTCTTCCTAGGTGGATGGACCACTCCCTCTGCTGTGCAGACCTCTGTCTTCTCACCTGTATTATTCTGCCACTTTTATTTGTGGATATGCCTGCCTGCAGTCAGCAGTGGACTGGGAGTTCCACAAGAGCAGCTCCAGCACAGAACAGAGGTGTGGTGTGTCAAATGGGAAGTGGTTAATACATGTTTTTTGATGAACGAATGGATGATTTGTGTGGAATTACAATAATTTACTGAACCCTTCCCATTTTTGATATTTAGTTTACTTTTTGTTTTTAAGTATTACAAATAATATGATAAATATCACTGGAAGAAATATTTTTCTATATTTTATATCATTTCTTTTAGCTAGATCTCAGAAGTGTAATTGTTGGGTACCAGTGCTGGGCATTTTTCTAAGACTACTGCTGTTTTCCCAAGTGCCAATCTCAAGCCCAGTATTGTCTTGCCTGTTTTGTTGCATCCTTGTTGGAATAAATATCATCGTGTTTATCTTTGTTCATTTGAAGGTAAAAGTGATTTCTCGCTGTGGCTTTATTTTGCAGTCCTTTGATTCTTGAGCAGTTGAGCACTTTCCAAGTGCTTCTTAGTCATTCTTCTGTGAATTATCTCAATAAGCATATTACTTTATAGTTATATTTGGTTCTGTAGGGGGAAAAGATAGATCACTGAGCTTTTACAAATGCATAATTTCAGGACTAAATAGGCAGGATCTGTCAGCCCTGTGGAGTGGGGCCCATGGGCCTTTGCTCAGCTGTTTCTCATGGGTGGTCTGGGGGCTACAGGGTTGGTCTCAGCCCTTCCACAAGAAGGCTGCAAGACTGCAGATTTGCAGTGAGCTGCCCAGAATCTTGTCCTGGGTGTCTTTTCCTTGTGGCCCTTGGCTCAGAGTATATCCTGTGTCCTTATGACACTGTAAGTGACTTGGACTTTGCCCTTGACATCCAGATGGATTCAGCCTTATTTCCCTAGTGCCACAATTATGCTATGAGTCACCCACAGCAGGGAATAGAAACTGTCCACTGTCCTCAGCTTGCTAGTGGCTTTGGGACATTCGTGGCAATGCTTCCTTCCATTCTTGAAAGGCTGTCTACTTTTGGCTCTACCACCTTCCAACAAATCCCCCCTCCACTGTTTGTCCACCCAGTCAGCCCCATGAAGCTGAGGCGTGGCGATGACACTGGCACTCACCAGCAGCCCCACCAGCCCACAGCTGTAGGCTGAGTCCCTGATGCTGAGTGCTTGACACCCAGGGTCTCATTTCCTGACCTCACTAAGCAGCCCCTCTCCTGCTAACTGAGCTTCCTCCTCAGGCTCCAGGCACTCTCCAGCATCTCACAGGCCCTTGAGCTCTCTCTCCTCTGCTAACTTTTGTGAGTCCCCTGCCTCTAAGGGATGGCTCCTTCCTGTAATCACAGTCTCTGTACAGTCTTGCTTCAAACTCGCTAAACCTTTCTGAGCTGCGACCTTGCCTCCACTGTCTCTGCCTAGAATATCCGCCTGTGGGTATTAATATCCATCATGATTAAGTCTAAGGTCACTCTCCCTTTGGGCCCCGGTAAACAGAAGGCTGGGTGTGTCTCAGATAAATCTCCCCTGCTGCTGTCATTGTCTTTGTGTCCTCAGCATCCCCATTTTCCAGCGTGGACTGTGGAGTCTGCAGATTTGAGTGTGAGTCTGCCCTACCACTTACTGGCTTTGGGACCATGAGCAAATAATTAACACACTCTTAGCCCCAAGTTCCATGATCTTTAAATTGGGTATAATAATATCTACCCCATAGGGTTATTGTGAGGATTAAATGAGACAATGCAGATAATGTGCTTCCCACCACGCCTGGCACATAGTAAGCATTCAGCAAATATTAGTAGTTGATGTTGACATTACTGCTGTTGTTGCTGTTTCTGAGCAAGCCCAAGCTCTGTATGGAGTAAGATACTATGCAATTTGTGCAAAAGCTGCAGGTCACATTTAATTTACTTATATTCCTTCATTGCTTTTTGCCTACTGTATGTGAGTGATGGTACCATAGTGCCTCATGCATGCAGAAAATTCTCAAAAAGTTTTTTTTTAAAAGGCTGGCTTTTTCAGTAAGCACAGCCCTGGCAGGGAACCAGACACCATTGTAGAGAAGAGAGGGGGGTCTGTTTGAAGAAATATATGCCCATGGATATCCTTGAAATGGAGGCACTTCACCAGGCTCTAGAAGTGCATGTGCACACACACACACACATACACACACAGAGAAACCAGGAGCCACACCACTACCATGTGTCTGACCGTTCTTTCCTTCTTGGTTTTAGCAAGGCGCAGATGGTCAGAATGTAGTCATCATTTTCCTGTCTTAAAATACTAACTTGGCTTTATGTAAAGCCTCATTAACTTAAAAGCTCTATTTTTCAAATCCCATTTTTTTTATGATCAATGTGAATAGTGAAGTGGGGAGTTAATCACATCCATGGTCTTAAGTTCAAGACTTCATCAAAGTTATTTATTAAACATTTCTGCATGGAAGGAGAAAGGCAAGTGTCAAAGCTGGGGGGAACCCAACACATCTCATATTATATTTCAGGAAATAGGACCTTGTATTAAATATGATTACCAGGGCAAACTACGCTGTGTAGAGATTAAAGGTTATACTCCACAGAGCAGAGCCTAATCTTGGGATCCCAGGAGATTTGGAGGCACATTTGCTACAAGAATGTTTGGGAGGACAGATCTGTAAAAGCAGAAAGCAGAAGGGGATGGGGCAGCTGATTTCGCAGGAGGCTCGGCCGGAGCCCGACACACCCGCAAATACTCTAGGGTTAGCACCCATTTAAACAGGCTCTTTGGCTCTGCGTCCTGTCAGCTGCAAGGGGAGAGAGAGCATCTCGTCTCTTCCTTCTTCTGTTTCTGAGGTTTCTTTCATTAGCAAGTGCTAATTAGGAGACCTTGCATTCCCAGGGATAATCACAGGAGACAAAATAGCAGCAGAAAAAGAAAGGAGGAGGAGAGCGGGGGCCCAGTGATATGTTACAACCACCAGAGCAATGGATCCAGCATCATTCTTGTGTGTGTGTATGTCTATGTTTTTCTCCCCAAATTCAGACCATGATAAGTTTGTGCAAATGGCCAATTTGAGTCCTGCACACCAGGCCCGGTCTAAGCCTCTCATTTGGATTCAGAGATTGTCATGCTCAGAAAACGAGTTGTTTGTATCCAGGCTTCAGGGTGCTGCAGGAGGCCTGCTGAGTACATCAATGGATAACTTCAACGTGGACGGCAGCAAGGAGGCTGGAGCAGAAGGCATCGGGCGCAGGTGGGTGTGACACATTTGTTCTCTGGGCCCAAACCACCATGTGCTTGATGGTTTGCAGTGATCTGTACTGAAGATTTATTTTATTTTTTTTTTGAGACTGAGTTTTGCTCTTGTTGCCCAGGCTGGAGGAGTGCAGTGGCGTGATCTTGGCTCACCGCAACCTCAGCCTTCCAGGTTCAAGCGATTCTCCTGCCTCAGCCTCCTGAGTAGCTGGGATTACAGGCATGCACTGCCACACCCTGCTAATTTTTATATTTTTAGTAGAGACAGGGATTCTCCATGTTGGTCAGGCTGGTCTCAACCTGAGGTCCAGACCTCAGGTGATCCACCCTCCTCGGCCTCCCAAAGTGCTAGGATTACAGGCATGAGCCACCAAGCCTGGCCAAGAAATTGTTTAAACGATGTTAGATGTCTAGGAAAAGTGTATATTTATTGGGTAACTGTCAATCAATTCCACAGAGATTTACAGAAGGCCATCTATGGGCTAAGTCTATGTTAAACACTCTAGGGCCAACCTCTCATTCCTCCTTCTATGATGCTCCCGTCTTTTGGTGAAGAAAGAACTAGATGACAATATGAAATTGGAGAGGACAAATAAACAAGTTGCAATAAGCCTATTTGGCCTTATTATCAGCCAGGTGCTGTTCTGAGCACGTGTACATATCAACTAATTTAAGTCTTATGACTCTGTTAAGTGTTTCCGTTGTTCTCATCACATCACAGAGAGGAAACCCAGGGGTTAGGATTTGAACACAAGCAGCTGGCCTTAGAGTCCAGCTCCTAACCTCTACACCACGCTACCTTTCCTATTGATGAGTTTCTTATCATTTAAATTTATATGTAAAAATAGTGGGCTTATAAATGCAACTTCACATGACAAAACGATTCATAAATTTAAAAATAGCCTAGGACTTGGATTACATTTACACTGCAATTTATAGAAATAGCACAGATTCCCAGGCAGCATATGACCAATGAAGGTTGCTGCAGGAGCTGTTTTTTTGGGATGAGTTTTCCAGCTACTTCAGCAAGAGGGTATGGATGATTCATTTGAACTGAAAGTCTATGTGTGTATCTATATCTATACCTATATCTATATCCATAATTATTGCCCCCAATTCTGTTGATGCAAATGTACATTGCCGTGCACCACAAACTAAATCAACAGTGGTAAGGCAAAACGGTTTCGAGCATCTATTGCTGTGTAACAAACGACCCCAAAGCACAGTGGCTTAAAACAATGACCATTGTGTTATTCCATTTCACAATGAACTGGATTAGAAATTTCACAGTGAACTGGGTTAGAAATTCAGGCAGGACTGAGTTGAGGGATTCTTCTGGGTTTCATGTGGTATTGTCTGGGGTCCAGCAGATGCTGGACTAGTCTAGAGGACGCAAGACGACTTTGTTCACAGGCTGCTTCCTTGGATGGTTGGGAGGCAGTGCTCACGGAGCCCCTCTCTCTCCGTGAGTAGTCTTGACTCCTCTTCATGTGGGGTCTCCAGCAAGGTTCTGCAAGGCAGGAGGGCTCCAAGATCCCAAAAAGAAGCTGTCAGTTCTCTTCAAGTCTAAGCCTGAAGCTAGCCTGGTGTCAGTCCTGCCATACTGCTGGTTAAAATAGTCACAGGTCAGCACAGATTCAAAGGGAGCAGAAATAGTCTCCACTTCTTGATGTAGGAGCGTCCAAGACCTTGTGAACATCTTTCATTTGTCACCCAACTAATGGTACCTTATAGCACTTCATTGTTTAAAAGGCAGAAGAAGCCATGACTGACTCAAGGCCATCTTGAGGATGTGTTGCCCGCAAAGCATCCTTTCTGAGAATGGTGGCCCTTCCAGCGACTGGCCAGTGGTCACGCACAGTAGGGGCTTTTCAGTGTTGCATGGTTGCTGGCCTTCTTGATACAAAGCTGAATTGGCGCCCTCCGTAATATTCGGTATAACTCTAATCTTGGTTTACAAATGCCAAATTTTCATGACCCTTAATAACTCACATCAGAAGTTACCAGTAACCCGTGGGTGAAAAGGGAAACCTAATTACTAGGCTTTTGAGTTCTTGGAAGATTCCCCTCACCCCACCTCCAAGAAGCACAGCTTGAGACACTGGTTTGGGTGCGGGTATGTTTTTGTGGAGGTGATGCCAAGAAGGAGTGAGAGAGAGAGGGAGTTGGGGAAGCAGGCAAAGTGTGGTCACAGGGGTAGGGGTCACCAGGTAGCTGTTGAGGGCAACCAGGGCTCAGCTCCACAGAGGTGTGCAGAGGCCTCCTAGAACTGCAGGACAGGAGGCAAACACCATGTAATGGCTCCTACTTCCCTTTGGTCAAAGGATGGGAGGCCTGGACTCTCCCATGCTTTTGGGTAAGGTGGGAATAGTGGGGGTGGAGGAGACGGCTCCCAAGATGGACAAGAATCTCTAGAGCAGAAAGAGGGCCACACCTGAGCCAGGATGCTGTCAGCTCAGCTGAGCCTGAGCTCTCATGGAACTGCCCCCCACCACTGCAGTTGAAGTCTGAGGTGGGCCAAAGTCCATGACAGTGATGCAGTTGAGACATTTAGAGTTTCTGTCATGGTACAGAGGCCATTCTGCCGGGGGCCCCTTCTGACAGGGTTCTGGATCAAGCCCCGCATCATGGAAGTCCTTTGCCAATACTTGCTCCGTGGTCTAGTGCTGTGTGACCTCAATGAAGTTATTCAACACCCCAGGCCTCAGTTTCCTCATTCATCCAGTGGTAGTAATAGTCATCCCTCCCCACTGGGTGGCTGTGGGAATTAAATCATGTTATAAAAGCTGAATATGGGTTGGTCTGTGGTGACTGCCCTGATGCTGGTCTCGAACACAGTGTTAGGCTCCATGAACGGCGCAGCAATTTCCAAGCAAGGGCACCAGGGACGGCTGCTTGGGAGATGTGGCATCAGGTCTTGACTGATGAATAGGATCTGGGCACCGTGAGAGGAAGAGAAGGAATGCCATGAGCAAGGGCCTCCTTAGTCTTACTAGAAAAATGGATTGAGCACCTAATGTGTGCCAGCCCTGGGCCAGGTGTGGAGGATTCGGTGGTGAGCATGACAGATGTGGTCCCCACCTCATGAGCTCACAGGCCAGCGGAGAGGTGGCCCACATGGGGTCTGTGTGGAAAGATGTGGGTCATGCCGCTGGCCTAAGCCTGGGCATATGACCACAGGAGGGAAGGCTGACATGTGGAGGCAGGACCCCATCGCCAGTGGCATTCCTGAGCAGTTGTTTACACAGCACGTGGTGCCAGTGGCTGCCTGCCGTGAGGTACAGCTCCTGCCTGCCCTCCCACTCCTGAGAGGTGGCCTCTGACTTCACATCACTGCTTTTCTGAAGCCTTTCGCCACTGCCTCAGGTGAAGGTGTGGCTCCTCCACATCGCTGGCTCCAGTTAGGGCAGTACCCTCTGTCCCCTCCACCCTGACACCCACATGCTCCTGTCTGTGCTGTGAAACATGGAACTTCTCAAGAACAGCAATGTGCCTGGTATATCCTTGGCTCTGAGGCTGGCAGGGAAAGCTTTCAGTAAATGGATTTTTTTAAAGTTCACGTTTAAAATGTTTTTAAATGGTGGTAAAATACACATAATATAACACCTACCATCCTAACCACTTGTCAGTTCAGTAGCACGCAGTCCATTCATGATGTTGTGCTACCATCACGAAAGTCCATCCCCAGAGCTCTGTCCGTCTTCCCAAATTGAAACTGCACCCATTCGACACAACTCCCATTCCACCCACCTAGCCCCTGGCCGCTGCCGTGCTCCTCCTGGTCTATGAATGTGACTGCTCCAGGTTCCTCAGATGAGTGGAATCATTCACATTTCATCCTTTTGTGACTGGCAGTGATTGGCTTTTAAGCAGTAAAGGGTTGCATGTGTGGCCCAGATCACATGGGTCATAAAAACCCAGGCCCAGAAAAGCCCTTCCTTTTCCGTAAAGGCCACCTGAAGGCCACCTCAGCATCATCGCCTCTCTCGGCTCCTCCCAGACTGTGGGGATTTCTCCATCCATTGAGCACACGAGCGCCCTGTCGCAGCCTCTCCCTGGGCACCTTGGTTGGCTCTAGGAGGCATGAAAGTCATCCACCCTGCATCCCACAGCAGGCTGGGGACTCTCAGAGGACAGGGCCCATGCCTGACCCACCCTTTACCCTCAGTGCCTTGGAGCTCAGGCCTGACACCTGGGGTTCTCAGTCACTGTGGGTCGATCGTGCTGCAAGGCAAGCACAAACATGAGCCAAGTCAGAGTGAGGCCTCATCTGTCGCCAGTCTCCAAAGCTACTCTGTGCTGCACCTCACTGTGAGGCTGGACTTCTCCTCCCCCCACCGCCCCTGTTCTTCCCTTTCTGGCTGCAGCCTCTTTGCACAGTGCCAAGCTCCCTGCAGAGAGAGCCCTGGTGTCACAGCTCCAAGGGTACAGGGGGTGGATCCATGGGTAACTGTCCATGCCAGCGACCCCTGCTATAGTCCAGCTGCTTGAAGCTGTGAGATTGCTGTGGGGCTCTGAGGGGTGGGGGTCAGTCTGGGTAACCAGGGAAGCGGAATCTGCTCAGATGTTTGGCTGTCCAGGAGTCCCAGAGCTGGCTTTTTCCAGGGCTCTGAGACCCACAGCTTTACATCAATTGTTCCCTCTCAATCTAGACTTTGCTCACCTCTGAATGTAGCTTATCTCTGTGCAGAACTGACCCCGGGGCTGTGGCAACATCTCCCTTGACTCATTATTCTGCTAGGCTCTAGTACATTATTTACTAGCATGAGGCATATTCCGTCAGGGCCAGTTGAATGCCTGCATGAATGCTTCTTGTTCACAGCATGGTATGATCAGGCGGCACCCAACACAACATGTACAATGATCAAGCAGGTCAGTGACCCTGTGCAGCTCTCGAGCATGTGGTAGGTGGGGTGTGGAGGGTGCCTGGCCTGCCTGAAGGCCTCCAGCTGAAAACAGGAGCAAATGACAAAACATCAGTATCCACTAAGAGTGCTGGTGTTTGACACTTACTATCTCATTTCAGTTCCCTTAGAAGCCTGGGAAGTAGGAATGTTATTCTTATTTTATGGTTGAAAAAATGGAGGTTTACAGGATCACGTATCTTGCACATAGTAGGAGGCTCATATGAAGCCAGAGTTACCTCAGTGTCCCCTCTGAGACATAAAGATCCTACAGCCATTTTTCCCAGTGTCCTCCTAATAACTAGATCAGCCCTCGATGGGGTCCCTCTGAGGAGCTGCTGGATGACTGGACACAAGGCTGCCCTCCCCGGGCCATCATCCATACTCAGAAATGCCAAGAAGTTGCCTCCCTGAGCCACCTTATCTAACCTCACTGTCCTTCCCCGTGGGCCACCTTATCTAACCTCATTTTCTTTTCCCGGCAGCCCCTGCACTGGCCGGGAGCAGCTGAAGAGTGCCTGTGTGATCCAGAAGCCAATGACCTGGGACTCTCTCTCTGGACCACCTGTTCAGAGCATGCATGCAGGTATGGGCCAGGCCACGACCAGGTCTTGGGTGGAGGAACCCCTACGCAGGAAGCTTGCTTTGAGTCTTTTACCACCACTTATTTTTGCTTCCCACACAATGTTTGTAACCTTCTTGTTTTTTGAATTGTTTTCTTTTTAAACTACTTGTGATTGGGAAGAGGCGTTTAGCTTTGGCTGGGTATGAGGATCTGAAATGTGTCAGCTCTGGCGAAGACAATCCCAGCACTCTTGTCCAGAAGGAAGAATACCTGCTATGGAGGGTGTGTTCAGAAAAAGGCACCATTCACTGTAGATATGCTTCTTTATGCAGGCCAGAACATCACCTCCCAGTATTCACCAGAAAACATACACAGAGTAGATGGCAGTCCCTTCAGCCATGCATCCTCCTGGCCAGTTCCCTGTTGAATGTGAGGACAAAGAGATCCGACACTTGGAAAAATATCTCTACTCAGTGAGCATTAAGCCTGAGGGTTGGATCAGTGTATTAGTGCGTTTTCACGCTGCTGATAAAGACATACCCAAGACTGGGAAGAAAAAGAGGTTTAATTGGACTTACAGTTCCACATGGCTGGGGAGGCCTCAGAATCACGGTGGGAGGTGAAAGGCACTTCTTACATGATGGCAGCAAGAGAAAAATGAGGAAGAAACAAAAGCGGAAACCCCGGATAAACCCATCAGATCTCGTGAGACTTATTCACTATCACGAGAATAGCATGGGAAAGACCAGCCCCCGTGATTCAGTTACTTCCCCCTGGGTCCCTCCCACAGCATGCAGGAATTCTGGGAGATACAATTCAAGTTGAGATTTGGGTGGGGACACAGCCAAACCATATCAATCAGGAAAACTGCCAGGCAACTCTTTACAAGTAACTTGTCTGCCAATTTCTGCCAAGGTCCCTGGGGGAGGGAGAGACATGGAAGGACTGAAGTGGTGGGTCACCATTTGGGGATTTTCCCAAGTACACTGTGGCACACACTGAAGTGCCCCACTCCAGGACTCCAGCTCTCCAGGAACAGCTTCAGGGCTCTGCCTGGGGCTCCTCCATGATCCAAGCCAGGGGAAGACCACAGGTCACACAGGCTGGGCTGCTGGCACCTTGTCACCCCTGGTTATTTGAGGCCTGGGATGGGAAGGCTTTACTGTCTCACCTCTGTTTTAGCTTTTGTTTTTGTTTTGACTCTCAGCAATTATTAATACATCTCTGCTCATCCTCTGTCTTGTCCCAAAACCAATGCGGAAAAAAATAGCTACAGTAAGTCATACAGAAAACAAGCACCATAGCCCATCCTGTTCTTGCCTCTGCTCTTTAAGCTGGAACTTGAGCAACACTGAGTGACACTCCAGAGAGGCTCATGTGAGTGTGTGTTCAGGTGTCCATTCCCAGCACTGCTGGGAGATTAAATATGAGCTACTTTTGTTTTCAGGATTGTGTGCGTGTGAATGTGTGTGCGCGCATGTGTGTGAAATGCTGTTTACTCCTTTTGTATTAGCTCCCAAATAATTTGGGGGAAAAGCACAATGTGGTGCTCTGATTCTACCTCTAGGCTCAAAGAATAATAGGAGGAAGAGCTTTATAGCTGAACCGGGCCGAGAAATTGTACGTGTGACACTGAAACGTGACCCACATCGTGGTTTTGGTAAGAGGGCTCCCTGTAGGTGAGGCCCAGTCTCTACTGCTGGGCAAAGTGGGGAGGTGGGTACTGTTTTCCCTTTCAACTTGCCTACTCCCCTTTCCTATCCCTCCTCTCCCAGTCTGCCTTTTCTGGTAATCACTTCTGTTTTTTTTCTCCCTTTAATTGTTCCTAAAGAGCAATGGGACTTTTGTTTCCAAGTTTTTCTTTTTGGGGTGCATCTAAGTACAATGCAGAAAAAGATTTTTTCCCCTAATACCATGTAACAACATTCCTCTAGTCAGCTATGGGGAAGAAGAGTCAATTTATCTCACCTCTTACTAGTGACCACTTTCTAAGACCCGAAAAACTGTAGAAGAAACAAGGTACGGAGACAAGGTACTTGATTAAAAATCATTTCTTTCCTATGTCTCATTATCTACTGGAGCAAAATCCAGTGCATATTGGTGGTTTGTATTCCTAGCTTTAGCTGTGCTTACTAATGGGGAACAATCCACCTTTCTCCAAGTATCATGGTAAAGTAGAAAAGATCCTCTATTTGAGGATCAGAAGACCTGACTGTAACTATCAGCTAATGCCACTTGGTAGCTGTGTGATATGAGGGAAATAACCTAACCTCTCTGAACAGCAAAATC
The DNA here is from genome assembly GCF_000001405.40 of Homo sapiens. NCBI lineage: Eukaryota > Metazoa > Chordata > Mammalia > Primates > Hominidae > Homo > Homo sapiens. The sequence goes on along the minus strand of NC_000010.11, from coordinate 48,184,923 downwards.
ACTAAGTATCATCTTATCATGGACTATCATCTTGGATTACAGGGTTTGTCATTAATGAGGGAGAGTATTCAGGCCAAGCTGACCCTGGCATTTTTATATCTTCTATTATACCTGGAGGACCAGCAGAAAAAGCAAAAACGATCAAACCAGGTACATCTTTTTAAATTACTAGAGATGCTGTTTTAAGAAACCACTCTTTTTTATTTCCTTGAAGGATTATTGAGATGTTTTATTTTTCTAGGAGGGCAGATACTAGCCCTGAATCACATCAGTCTGGAGGGCTTCACATTCAACATGGCTGTTAGGATGATCCAGAATTCCCCTGACAACATAGAATTAATTATTTCTCAGTCAAAAGGTATGTTTTAACCCACTCTTGGGAGCTTAAGAGGCTCCCCTGTTTTCAGGAGTACATGATTACTGTGAGGTACTAGACCTTGAAGTCCACGTAGGTCTTCTATATTGCTTTCCTCATGGTGTTGGCTTGCAAAGAAGCAGTGTAGTGGCACAAATTAATAAGCTTTGCAATTTCAGGGGCAGAATGGGCGTTACCATGCTTGTCTTGCTGAAAGGGAGTAACCTACTCTAATTTTGTTAGACACGGCTGGATACAACCAGTCTTTTTTTTTCTGTCAACTCTCCTTGCATGGCAGGGAGGACCTTTTTATTGCCACCCAAAGTCCTTGTTGATAGGGTCGGCTCCAGGATTTCTATATTTTGTATAGAATCCTATACAAAATTTCTATATTTTGTATAGGTATAGCAATCAGCTGGGGAGGAGACAAGCACTGTTCTTTGTTAATCTTTTGTTTTGGGTTTAGGGCTACATGTGTAGGTTTGTTATTACAGGCAAACTCGTGTCACAGGGGTTGCTATACAGACCATTTCATCACCTAGGTGCTCAGCATAGTGCCCAATAGTTATTTTTCCTGATCCTCTCTCTCCTCCCATCCTCCTCCCTCAAGTAGGCTCTGGTGTGTGTTGTTCCCCTCTTTGTGATCATGGGTTCTCATTATTTAGCTCCCACTTGTAAATGAGAACATGCGGTATTTGATTTTCCTTTTTTTTTTTTGAGATGGAGTCTCACTCTTTCACCCAGGATGGAGTGCAATGGCACGATCTTGGCTTTCTGCAGGCTCCACCTCCTGGGTTCAAGCAATTCTCCTGCCTCAGCCTCCTGAGTAGCTGGGATTACAGGCACGCGCTGCCACACCCGGCTAATTTTTGTATTTTTTAGTAGAGACGGGGTTTCAATATGTTGGCCAGGCTGGTCTGGAACTCCTGAACTCAAGTGATCTGCCCGCCTCAGCCTCCCAAAGTGCTGGGATTACAGGCATGAGCCACTGCACCTGGCCTTTTCTTAAAGCTGAATTTTCGTGGCAAGCTCGCTCTTCTTACTTGATGTGCATGTTCCTGATCAACCTAAAGAGTAAAGTACTTTTTGATGATGCTTTTCTTCATCCTTTAGATAAGAATGAGAGAGCAACAACTGCCTATATTAAAGGAAAATACTATTGTTTTTATCGGGACCAAGCTTGAGGAGCCTGGAGGAAGTAATGGGAGTAGGCTAACATCCCTTCTCCCTAGTTTCCTGAGACCAATGCTGCTTTTTGGTTGGGTGATCCTGTAAACTAACAGCAGACCGCCTGCAAATTCAGGCTCATGATTGCTTCTTCACACTTGAGGGGTGTTGTACAGTTTTCCCTTGTATACAGGAGAACTTCCTGTCACACCAGCCAGCATTTTCTAGGTACTAAATGCAGGCACTGCATTTGCCTTGCCTTCTGAACACTTCTGCATGCATGCTCTCTCACTCTTGTACCTGTACACAGTGCCATGCAGCTCCCCTGTCCAGAAGCTATGGGTGGTGGAAGGTGGCCATGCTGGGGTCTCAGCCCCACACCCTTCATCCTGGGGTTGAAGCCTTCTCAGGGACTGGCCTCAGTACATCTCCAATGCCAGTCTCTGGCTTGCTGTCTGTTGGATTTCCCAGCACCACTGCTCTCCTTTCTGCAGTGGTTCAGCAATCCCTGTGTTTTCTTCCACATCCTCCACTGACAGGAGCAGTCAAACCATCCCATGTGTTGTCAGGAAACACAATGCAGGTGACCAAATCACAATTCAGCATAGTCCAAGGATGGCCTGCTGTGATGGAGGTTGTCAAAAAGCAGTACTCGAGGTCTGCTATTCTCAAACCACAACCTCACATTAGAATTCCAGACAATGAGTTTCCCACAATGGCTGGGAATAAAATGTCCTTTCACTGTGGCACCCCAGCCACCTTTTGGCAATGCTGCCTTCATCATGGTGGGGTTTCCTCATAGCTGGGCCACTGCCAGAGGAAGATGTTTCCTTGGTGATGCTGGCTGGGTCTCCGTGGCAGAGACTTGACTACCATGACTTTCTTCTATCTCTTTAGGCTGCTGTTAAGGCAGCTGGGCTAGATTGGAGATCAGGATCAGACAGATAAAATGTCCATCATGAGCATCTGTCATGGTCTACAATAAATTGAGTTTCCTTTACCAAAAAAGGTCTCCCAGCTCATATGTCTACTAGGCAGGACACCAGTTGCAGCATGGTTTGACTTTTCATTTCAATCGTAAGTCCCATCCTCACCTCTCATGGAGGATGTGGAAGAGAATGAGCCGATGCTTATGACACTGCCAGAAGGACAATGATGACAGAATCTGTGAATGAAAGGGCCAGAAATACAGCATTATGAAACAGTGGCCCTGCCACTCCCTGCTGGATACCTTTAGATTTGAATAACTTCAAATCAAATTCATTAAATCAGATTTATTTAAATTGAATTCATTCAGCATGTGAGTTTGGGCACTTCCCTGAGTGTTAATGAGTCTGTATCAAAAGTAGTAAATCTACTTGTATCCAGGTCTAAAGAAAATCTAACTGTTATTCATTCCTCCCACATATATTTGTGGAGCAGCTAATAATAACATGTTAACAGTAGATACATTTATTGAGGCTCTACCATGTACTAAGCTGTGCGTGTCTGTGTGTGTGTGTGTGTGTGTGTGTATGAGAGCCATATATATATATATATATATGAGGGAATATATATTCTTTCATATATACATATATATTTTTATCTTTCTTAACATATGTAAAATCTTTTCTGTACGTATAATCTCTAAGCCTCACCAACTCTACAATATTATTGATATTGATATTATCTCTACTTTAGATACAGGAAAATTTAGGTTCAGTTATGTTAAGCACCTTGCCCAAGGTTTTTCTACTGATTCACAACCTCACGTTCTTTTCTTTGTTCTATGCCAGGTCACGAGTCAGACACAGGGTGAGCAGGAATCAGTGGCCTAGCTTTCACTCACAGGGGCCTGCAGTTTGGTTATTACCAAGCCTCCCAAAAGGACCTGATACGTTGGTTTTTGGATCACATGGTGGCTGCAGATGTGCTCAGTGGGGTGTCCAGGAGAGGCTGGGTTTAAGACAGTTCCCACATGCTGGCTGTAGCATTTGGGGCAGGACACTTAATAGCTTTGACTCTGTTTTCTCATGTTTGAACTGGGATTACACCTTCCTGGTGGGTTTGCTGAGAAGATGGGAAGATGTCCATATCTTCCTATATGTATATCTAAGGTGCCCATCACATGGCTAGAGCTTAATAAGGGATAGCTGGCCTTATGAACTTCTTTTGAGCCTACGCATTCATAGTTGGGTCACGTAAGCTCTATCTAGGTTTCTAAATCCCATGTAGAATCTTCCCTTTCTCTAATCTAAATGTAACATCTTTCAGGAGGAGCTAAATTCATATTGTACCCGAGCAGCTATAAACGATCACTCTGTCACTGGAGGAAAACGCTGTGCCCACATAGAGATGCCACCAAGAAACCGGCCTTTTTAAGCTGTTGACTTTTTCTTGGCTTGTTTTTATAGGTGTTGGTGGAAATAACCCAGATGAAGAAAAGAATAGCACAGCCAATTCTGGGGTCTCCTCTACAGACATCCTGAGCTTCGGGTACCAGGGAAGTTTGTTGTCACACACACAAGACCAGGACAGAAATACTGAAGAACTAGACATGGCTGGGGTGCAGAGCTTAGTGCCCAGGCTGAGACATCAGCTTTCCTTTCTGCCGTTAAAGGTAATCATCCCTTGGTTTACTTTCTAGATCTGGATGAAAGAGAACAGACTGTGAAGCCCAACAGCCTGGCCCCTAGGCCCTTCCTGTTCTCTGTTTTCCATGTCAGGTGGATGGAAGTTACTTAGCCCCTTTGAGCCACAGCTTCCTCATTTGCATACAGAAGCAAATGCCTGCATGGCATGGTTGTTGAGAAAAACGCATAGAAGAAGGCAGAGTTCTAGGACAGTGTCTGGGCACAGGCTCAGTGTGGGTGCCTCTGGAGTCTTTAGTCACTAATTATAATTGTTGTGATAATAGCACCATGAGGAAATTGATTGCTGCCAATGGCAAGGCGTGGGCAACCAGGCACCTCCTATTCTTGTCCTTGAATTGGTCCTCAAGCTGGGAACTCAGTGGCTTTGCTCTTGACCATACCCCATGGAGGAAGAAGATGGGATCTGGAGTAGGTGTATGGAGGGCTGTGTGCTTCAGTCCCAGCTCTGCTGTCCTCTGCCGTCTCTTTGGATTCCCAGTGGTGTTGTCTTCTCAGGCCCCGCCAGACCCATGCCCCAGCCTCTCCATTCTGCTCTGGGCCCTGCACAGCTGGTGCTCATGGACTGAGTCACCTTGCTGTGTTCTGCTTGGTTCTGCCCAGTCGAAGCCTCAGCAGGAGCCCGCAGTTGTGGGATGAGTGAGGACAGGGTGGCAGTGCTGGAGTCTCAGTTGCACACCCTTCATTCCACTCTTTCCCTGTGCTGACACAGGTTGCCTGTGCCCCTCTACAAAGAGCACAGCTCCTATCAGGGTCCATCGACCACTCCCTTCTCTCGCCCTTCAGGCTCAGGGGTGGTCACAGCACCCAGTGTTTCCAGCCCCAGGTGCTGAACTGATATTACTGGTTTCTCCAAAGGCTGGCAAGACCTTTGAAAACAGGTCTCCCACGACCTATCCTCCCTTACTCAGGCTGAGTGTATGCCCTTCTCATTCTTGCTGGGACAACTTGCTGGTTGAAACAGGCAGGTTATTGCACCTCTTTCAACCTCGTTTCTCTTTTTATGATGGAGATAATGATGTCTGTCCACAGCCGTGGAAACTAAGGTACTATGCCCAGTGTCGGGGATAAAACCCGTATCTTTCTTCTACTCATCTTAGCTTCATCAGCTGGGACCCCTGTAACTAAAGACAGATTAATGAGAGAAAAGCATCCACGTGTATTTACTATAAGTTTTATGTGACATGTGAGCCTTCTTATGGAAATGACCTGAAGAAACAGTTCTCCCTGAGTATATTTGATGAAGAATGGAGAGTCATGGAGAAATGAGATAAGACAAAAAGCAGGAGTATGTAAGGTGGGAGGAACTCAGCAAGGCCTGCTTGTTCAGATTCCTCTCTCAGTCCCTGTGTCTTCCCACATAAGATGCTCCATTTTTCCAGATATAGGGAGGGCATTCTCACTTGAGGGTCTTGTGCCCTGCTTCGGGGGAAGATTAGAAAATCCTTCCTAGGTTTTAGGGCCTGCTTCAGAAGAGAAGGGCAGGGGAAGGTCAGAGAAACCTTCCCTCATGTGCTGTTTCTCCAATTCCTCCAATGTGCCAAGGTGCCCTATTTTGGGGTAGTGTGTCTTGACCTCTGTCACAAGGATCTGGCATGCAATAGGGCTCCATGAATGACAGTGCCTTCCTAATTGGCCATGGTGCTCACCTGGACAGAACATCCCATGAGGAACTGGATGCAGGAGGCCAGTGGAAGAACAACGATAGTAGCTGCCATTAATTGAGTGCTTACCTGTGTGCCAGGCAGTGTCCTGAGCACTTTATATGTATTAGCTCATGGAAGCTCCATGGTAACCCAATGAGATCATTCCTATTATCAACCCCTTTTATGGGTGGGGTATCTGAGACAGAAAGAGCAAAGGAGCACACCCAAGCTCTCTCAGGGAGCAGGGGACAGAGCTGGGATTCGGATTGGCCTCCAGAGCAGAAACCTTCACCCCAGGCCTTCCTCTGGTAGGTCCTCTCTGGCAGGAAGCAGAGCAGAGAGGCCTTCACGCTGGGGCTTCTTTGGTGGCAAACCTGAGAGTTGGTTTCCTGGGGCTGGGGGCCGTTGAGGGGAGCAAGGGAGCTCTAAGGCCACGTTGACCATGGTGCAGGCTGTAGGACCCAACCCAGATGCTGCAGGCTCTTCTGGGTCTCTTGGCCAACTTTGTGGCCAGATGATCCTCTGTGGTATGGTGGACTTTAGATTCTCACTTCAGGTCTCAACCTCAGCAGTTGAGGCTTCGTTGTTCAGCTTCCTCCAGCTTGTCTATTTTCCTGCGTGTCGTTAGAATTTTCTAACATTCATGGTGATTAGAAAGCACTAAGTAAAGGGGGCAGACAGGACAAAAGACCCCATCTTCTAGGCAGAGGGACAGCAGAACATGAACAGTGACCCAAGCATTCTCTGCCTAGAAGTGGCATCAGCCCAGCCCATCACTCCCTCATCTTCCTCCTGCTTTGTCTGAGGTCACATGCAGAAGGCCTGATAAAGCTGGAAATGAATCCCCTGCTGGCCCAATCCAAAGCTCATGATCTTTCTGAGGTGCAATGCTGCCTGCTCCTGAGAGCAGTATGAGCTAAGAGGTGACATCTTCCTTCATCCCATCTTTATTTTTGTTTGTTTGTTTATGGCAGGGTGCTGGTTCTTCTTGTCCTCCATCACCTCCAGAAATCAGTGCTGGTGAAATCTACTTTGTGGAACTGGTTAAAGAAGATGGGACACTTGGATTCAGTGTAACTGTAAGAGTTTTTAGGAGAGCTTGAAAAGCAGTTAACAAGATGTCCGTCTAGAACCTGGTGGCCATTCCACCCAGATGGCAACCTCTGACAGTGTGCTTAGTTTGCACAAATGTAAGGGGTAAATAAAAAAGCCAGTGGGGGCCTGCACTGGGGGATGAGTTCAGAGACAAACAGAGGTACTGGGGAACCTCAGGATGAGCAGGGCATGCACTAGGGGACTCCAAACTCATGAGGAGGCAGTGTGGGCAGAGTTGGCTGATGTGTCCTGACTCTGAGGTCAAGCTGGACTGCAGAGAGAGAGAAGCACATTGGGGCTTCAGGGACACAAGCTAAAGGTAAGAAGGGCAGTCCACTGTCATCTGGCCAAGGATGGGTGGGGCAGTCCACTGTCATCCAGCATAGAATCAGTGTGGAGCCTCTTGCTCAGACATCCCAGGGCCAGGCCTCCATCAGGACTGACACTTTCCATTTGGTTTCTGAGCTCTGCCTGGTAGACCCTTGTGAAAGGAGATTACCCATATAACTGTGTTTACCCAAGGGGTTGGGGAATGGCACACACAAAGCTGGTGAAAATCCAGAGGTCAGAGGTTGGAAGGTGCTGCTTTTATTACTGAGTATTGAAAGTGATCCATTACAGGCTGGGCTCGGTGGCTCATGACTGTAATCCCAGAACTTTGGGAGGCCGAGGCGGGTGGATCGCAAGGTCAGGAGATTGAGACTATCCTGGCTAACATGGTGAAACCCCATCTCTACTAAAAAATAAAAAAAAAAATTAGCTGGATGTGATAGCGGGCACCTGTAGTCCCAGCTACTCGGGAGGCTGAGGCAGGAGAATGGCGTGAACCTGGGAGGGGGAGTTTGCAGTGAGCCGAGATCACAACACTGCACTCCAGCCTGGGCGACAGAGTGAGACTCTGTCTCAAAAAAAAAAAAAAAAAAGTGATCCATTACCTTCAGACCCTGGAATGGGTCTGGATTTCAGGAATGTCATTGTTGGATTTAACTGTTGATGGGAAATAGAATGACATCTCCCACCAAAGTAAGGACACTCTATGGCTGATGAAAATTTTCAGAGGAAATTCAAGAGATATGTGAATGGAGGGCATTCTTTGCTTTCCCCTGTGATAATGCTATGTACCTAGAGCAAGAATATGTGTTTTCTTGGACCCTAAGCCTGCAATGAATTTGTCATCAGTAGATGATTTTAAGGGACCAAGTAAGAAACCAAGCAATAAGGCTCATGAATCCACATGGAGTGAACAGGCTGATACCAAATATGGTCCATTTATTCTTGGCTTGGGGTAACAGCCTTATCAGACACCAAACATAGCTATTTTTCATCTGAAAAACTGACTAAATTTTGGGTTATTCACAAATATATATTTGCTGAGAAGAGGTTGATGATTTCCTTTGGCTGGCAAAAACTTGGATTTTCTTTGCAGATATTTAATTTCAAAAATAATTCTTGAAATGTCTCACTCAAATCCAAATGGCCATTAAACACATGAAAAACACTCAAACCCGTGAAAAGCCACAGGAATACAAATTAAATTAAAATAAAATTTTAAACTTTATGTCTACCAGCTTGGCCAAATATAGCTGGTGGAATGTAGAAAAATGGTACTGTCATACAAAGCTGGTAGAAATGTGAATAAGTATATCCATATTCACATAGGGATGCAATCTGGCAACATGTATTATAATGAAAAATGCACATATCCTTTGGCCCATCAAAGCACACAAGACGTGCCAGGCACAAGCCTTCAGGCCCACAGCCATATCCACCTACGCTGGTCACTACCTATATAGAGATAGTGGTGCATCCCACGTGAGCAGTTGCTGAGCACCCGCCTTGTACCAGTGCTTGGGCTGGGGACATGCCCAGATCTCTCACATAGTTGCTATTGTTAAGCTTATGAACACCTAATCTTATTGCTCAGTGGAGAATACAATCTAAACGAACAGGTGAATACAGAAGACAGTGCCAGTCGGAGGTAAGGTCATGGGATAGAGTGGTGGGCAGGTGGGGATTCCCTTAGCTGGGGAGGTTGGGGAGGCTTCCTGGAGGAGGAAAGATGGGTGGTGAGTTTTTTGTTGTGTTTTTCAGGGTGGCATTAACACCAGTGTGCCATATGGTGGTATCTATGTGAAATCCATTGTTCCTGGAGGACCAGCTGCCAAGGAAGGGCAGATCCTACAGGGTGAGAGATGGGGATGGGTCCTCATTGGGAACTCTGTGCTCCATGGTGTAAAGAGCCCTGCACTGGGAGGGGCAGCCTCTAGGCCTTGCCCTGCTCCCATTCTGAAAACTCATGCAAATGATTGCCTCCCCAGGTCATACTTTTCTCACCTGGAAAGGAGGTGATAGAACCTGCCCTGCCCATTTGATAGGTTGGGGGGTCTGCAGTGGCACACTGGGAAGCATAGGTGATAGAAAAATAGTAGAAGACTTAAAAGACTTGTGTTGCTCTTTGGCCTCCATGGGAAAACATACTGCTTCCCTTGGAGGACAAGTGGGCCTCGGTAAACTCACTCGCACATCCGGGGAGGACACCTGAGCCTTCTGTTTGCCCTTGCTCAGCTCCCACTTCTCTGATGGAAGGGGGTGATTTTTACTGGTCTCCAAAACTGCCAGAATTGAGCCAAAAGGGGAACCTAGGATCTTACTTATCTCCATTTCCCCTAGAATTCTGGTGTCCCCAGCGTCAACCATGCCTCCCTGACCTTTTTTTGAAATAAAAAAAATACATGCTGGAGATATAAATATCTAAGTGACTTGAAAATACTTCCAAAAATGGTTTCACAGGAAAACAGGAGGAAGGATAAGGTTGAACAGAGCTGGCTCAACCATTCTGTGAGCCAATAATAGAAAGGCTTTTATATCCCTGATCTGTGATGTGCCTGAGAAGAAGGGAGTGAGACTGCTCAGAGAGGCAGGATTCCTGCTGACTCCAGGGGGACACCTGGCACCTCAGCTTCCTTTCCCACTTCTCCAGGCTGCATGGAGGGGTGCCGGGCAGGGGCCTCCTGGAAGGGAACCTCCTGCAGCCTCAAGCACCAGGTCATGACATGACATCTATCCCTTTCCCAGGTGACCGACTCCTGCAGGTGGATGGAGTGATTCTGTGCGGCCTCACCCACAAGCAGGCTGTGCAGTGCCTGACGGGTCCTGGGCAGGTGAGTGGACTGTTGCTGACCAGCTTCCCCTCCTTCCGGAACTTTCCTGAACAACATCAGAAGCTGAAATCGCCTCTGGGTGGGAGGGAGGCAGGCAAGAAACAAGACTTTTTCTTTGTTAGTTTTTTTTTTCTCTTCCATTTCTTCTTACCCTCACTTTTCTATGGGGATGTGAAACCCAGGAGATAGCAGATAGATGTTTCTGAGTAAAAAAAATCTCACCCCCCATAGATAGCCTTAGAAACTTACTGGTGGCTTGCCTGAATTCTGGAATCAGACAGCGGAATGGAGAAGATGGAGTGAAGAGACTGCTCTAGCCTGGCTCTGGCTGCCCCAGCCCCGCTGGCCCTGTGTCCATGGGCCTTCTTACCTCCCTACGTTTGCATAGGATGACCCCACTCCGTTCCCTGTTCATGCCATTCCCCCTCACCCTGTGTTGTACCCACCAGGGCGTGGGTCAGAGTGTCCTGGGATTCTTTTCCTCACAATGAGGTAGGAATTCAGGGTGCCAAGAGCAGAGCCATTCATCCTTTATGTCCCCTTTATTCCCTGCCCCGCAGTGACTCGATGTTATCCCACTGTGCCGAGTCCTCTGCCTGAGGTTAGGAGCCTCTAACTGCCTCTGTGTCCTGAGCCACAGAGCTGGCATCACCCTCTTTTGGCAACTAAAAAGTCAACAGAGACAGGAGGGATTCCTGAAGGCCCTTCCAGCAAGCTTGGGGCAATGTTCTGGCCACTTTTCGCTTTCTTTCCCAAAGCGGTTTTCTGGTGTCTGGTGAAATTTGCTTATATTAGTGACTTTGGTTGACCTATCTTGAGAACAGAGCCATAATTTATTGGCACCTTCTGATATTTAGACCTTTGCTAATGAGCATGGGTAGAGAGGGTACTTGGCTGGCCTCCTGGCAGCTTAAGCAGGTAGGAATTGTCCCTCTGGGATCCTGGGCCAGGTGCTGAGTGACAGGTGCAACAGGAAGATGAAGGCAGGGCCACATGCCCTGAATGGGAGCTTGGCATTTCTGAGAAGCTTCCAGGTGATGTCTATCTGCTGGTTCTTGAATCACACTTAGGGCGACAAGGGTATATGGTGTTGTGGGGAGAAATGTGGGAAATCACATTGGAAAGAAAGGGGAGGGCAGGTGGTACAGACCTGGGGTGCCATGGGTTTGGGTCTTAGGTGATGGGAAGCATTGGAGACTTTAAATCAAGAATGTTGCATGTTCAGTTTTTGTCTTAGACCAATTCACTGGCAGCCATGATGGGGTGGACCAAGAAGGGTGCAGACAGGGTCCAGTGAGCCAAGGTAACCAGAGCTTGCCACGGCCCAGCGGGTCACTGGCAGTGAGAGAGGAGGTGGAGGGGAGGGGGCACTGAGGAGCTGTTCTTGATGGGGAATGTTCACATCTTAGAAACCAGATGGGGGAGAGCTGGACCACTCCAAATGTGGCCCTTGGCAGGTTAATGGTGGGGT